>NT_187388.1:0-179772 GCF_000001405.40 Homo sapiens
GAATTCACTCTCCACCTCAGACATGATGACCCAGGTACTGATTACTAGTAGACAGGTTATTCTCTGTAACAACAAAACTGAAGGGGAACATGATATTGTTTTTCATTTTTAGGAAATTGTACTACCCTTTTATTTTCTGCTCCCATAGCTACAAAGTCACCAGCCTTAGGGGCGGGATCTGATGGAGGCTGTATCCATATTTTCGCTCCAGGATTTAAGCTACCTATACCAGTGGATCTTAATTTCCCAGTTCTGTACGTAGCCTCTGTTGGGGCAGAGATTTCCTCAGGGGTTAATTGTTAACAAGGTACCAGGTATCACTGACAATTGAGCAACCCGAATCTGCAGTCTTGTAACAAAAGAATGTGGAGTGGTATTGTGTAAAGTGAACTTTAACTCTTCCTGGTAATCATTATCAATTATACCACCATACATTATAATGTGTCTCATCGCCAGGCTTGAACGTGTTGTAATCCATTCACCCACATTCAAGTTTGCATTTATGCTGGAAATTTTGGCCTGTTGATCTACCTGCTGTTTAGTCTGTCAAGAGAATGCAGAGATGCATGAGAATCAATATGAAAAACAGCAATAATAGTAATGTGCATCAGGATTCAGGTATCTTCCTAGTATTGTTTTCTCCAAACCTCTTTATTCATTATTCACCATTTGTTTCATTGCCATTCGGGCAACTAGGTAGTAAGACCATTTTCTGCTGACCAACAGTCGGTATACAAGCAACAAATTGCTCTGGCCTCCACCTGAATAGTTCGGAGGATGGCTTCTAGTTCAGCCAGCTGGCTGCTCACACCCCTCCCTTCATCAGAAATGCTTATGTTTTTAACAGGATTATAAGCCACGGCCTCCCAGCATCAGGTCCCATCAATGTATTTGGTAGAACCATCAGTAACCAAGCATGTTTCTGATCCTCTGGGCTTAGTTCTTTAAAGGATTTGCCCCATTGGGCAGGGGAGGTTTCCTTCCCTATATGCAGGACTTGCCCTGTGGTTTCCTGAGTTGGCAAGTTTTGCACATCTTCATGTAAAAATGATACCGCTTTTAGTTCTGGCTTATCCTGGTCTTGTATGTACCATTTCCATTTTATGATACTACATTCTTGAGTGTACCCTATCCAATGGGTTTTGAGGGAGCTCATGACCCAAGTCATAATAGGAATTTGGGGCCTCATAAAAACATCATGATTAAAACAAAGGTGTTCTGCTTCTTTCAAGCGCAGTAGAAGGCCAACAGCTGCTTCTCAAAGAGTATAAGCTTTGCCAGCCTCTGGCAGCTTCTGGGTCTAAAACTCCAAAGGTATCTTCTTCCCATCTTGTTTCTACCTAAGGCTCCAATTAGCATGTTGATGTAGGACAGTTACTTGCAGTTCTGTTGACTCATCCTATAAGGGCCATAGATCCAGGGCCAGTTGCTCCGCTTGTTTTGCTTGTTGAAAAGCCAGGCTGTCTTTCTCTCTCCAGTGATATTCATAGTGTTTTCTAGTGACTGCATGCAGAGGTTGTAATATGTTACCCAAGTGGAGAATATGATGTCTCCAGAATCCAAACAAGCCAATACAATTTTGGACCTCCTTTTCAGTGGTAGGGCTGCAAATTCTAGTATTTTAGCGTTAGCCTTTGGTAAAATGGACTGTTTCCCTGCATTCCATAGGATGCCAAGGAACTTTACACTTTGTGCAGGCCATTGAATTTTATTAGAGTTAACTTCCCATCCTTGAGATAGGATTTGGGTTTTTACCCTCTTCTGCCCTGAAAACTGACTAGTTATTCAGTTTTACCCTGACTGGGCAACTCGGACAGCTGCTTTTTCAGCAATAGGCTGATAGCTTTGAGCCTGATCAGTCAAGACAGGCCTGGCATGGTACCAGGGCCAGTCTGGAAGTCAGATTAAAATTTTCCTTTTCCAGCTTACATTTCTCTTGTAACAACCAGTCCCTATATTGACACTTTAACTTATAAGCAGTAAGCAAGCATCATCAATGCTGGGAAATTCCCTCAGCATTACAATTACCAACTGGGACTCCCTGCTGCACCTCACGCACAGCCAGTGATTCAAACAAACTTTATCCCACTTAAATGGCAATGCAGATATAATAAGCAAATATATAAGCAAGTTGCAATGGGACGGGGAGAAGGGAAAAGATATATATATATATTTAAACTCACCAAACTATGGACGATTCACCACGAGACTGTGAAGCAACAGCCTGGGCTCCAGATTGGCCACTCATCCGTCCACAGACAACGTGAGATCTCATGAAGCTTTGGCGCAGTCTGGAACCCCAGCTCTTTTTGTAATGAGTTATTTGGCATGAAGTCCGGTCAGGAAGGCTCTTCACAACGGGGCTCAAGGAACACAAAAAGGTCAACTTGTTTTTTTGATTGTCTATTGATTTTCAATAACTACGATATAGGAATAAATTGAAATAGAGATTTATCTGAAACAGCGCTGGATGAAGGCTTCAAGGGGCTCACACAACCTGTTCCGGGACTTGGTGACTATTGTTTGAGTCCATGTTCAATTGAGTTCAAATTTAATATTTACCTTTTACTCCACAAAGTGTCAAAAGTAATTCCTTCAAATGCAGGAAATTATGTAGCTACTCACAAACTAAACTTCTCAAACAAAAGTCATAAATAGAGTACAGAGATAAAAAATAAAATAAAATCTAACTACATCTGTCTACAGGGGATTCAATTTATTTATTTATTTATTTATTTTAGAGACATGGTATTGCTTTGTTTCCCAGGCTGGTCTCAAACTTCTGGGCTCAAGTTAACCTCCTACCTCAATCTCCTAAAATGCTCGGATGACAGATATGAGCCATCTTACTATATAGTAACAAAAACAGACTAAAAGTGGCAAGATGCATCAAAACAATTTTATGCAAATCGTAATGAAATGAGGACAACGTCACGAGCACATTATGCAAAATACTTTTTAAATAACTGTCTTAGTTTATAAAATAAACTATAAGTTAAAACTGTCAAAGAAAACAAAGGACAAAATAATAACAAAGTTTATTCACTGGAAACCTAGGAAAATTATATACATTTATGTAATATACGTTTATATAATTGTGTGTATTTATCTAATTATGTATACAGACACACATATATATGAACCTCACATGAAGATTTTAAAATAAATCAATAATATTTTGTCAGAACATAAACAAAAAACTGCAATATACTGAGAACAATATTTTAATACACCAGTTCTGTAATTAATAATAAAGCCAGAGAGAATGTTAAGAAGAAAACAGAGGACATGAAAATACTGTAAAACAGTTAGATGTAACAGAGGCATAGAGATCACTCTACACAACAACAAAACTCACAGTCTTGTCAAAAGCTCATAAAACATTGTCCTAAAAATAAATATAAGGAAAAAAATTTTTTAACAGAATTAAAAAAAATTGAATGTTACAGAAAACACTTCAAAAAATCAATCAACCCAGGAGCCGGTTTTTTGAAAAGATTAACAAAATAGATAGACCACTAGTAAGACAAATAAAGGAGAAAAGAGAGAAGAATCAAAGAGACGCAATAAAAAACGACAAAGGGGATATCACCACGAAACCCACAGAAATACAAACTACCATCAGAGAATACTATAAACACCTCTACGGAAATAAAGTGGAAAACCTAGAAGAAATTGATAAATTCCTGGAAACATCCACACCTCCAAGACTAAACGAGGAAGAAGTTGAATCTCTGAGTAGACCAATAGCAGGTTCTGAAATTGAGGCAATAATTAATAGCTTATGAACCAAAAAAAGTCCAGGACCAGACGAATTCACAACTGAATTCTACCAGAGGTACAAAGAGGAGCTGCTACCATCCCTTCTGAAACTATTCGAATCAAGAGAAAAAGAGGGAATCTTCCTTAACTCATTTTATGAGGTCAGCATCATCCTGATACCAAAGCCTGGCAGAAGCACAACAAAAAAACAATATCCCTGATGAACATCAATGCAAACATCCTCAATAAAATGCTGACAAACCAAATCCAGCAGCACATCCAAAAGCTTACCCACCACGATCAATTCAGCTTCATCCCTGGGATGCAAGCCTGGTTCAACATATGCAAATCAATAAACATAATTCATCACATAAACAGAACCAATGACAAAAATCTCATGACTATCTCAATAGATGCAGAAAAGGCCTTCAACAAAACTCAACAGCCTTTCATGATAAAAACTCTAAATAAACTAGGTATTGATGGAACACATCTGAAAATAATAAGAGCTATTTATGACAAACCCACAGCCAATATCATGCAGAATGGACAAAACCTGGAAGCATTCCCTTTGAAAACCAGCACAAGACAACGATGCCCTCTCTCACCACTCCCACTCAACATAGTATTGGAAGTTCTGGCCAGGGCCATCAGGCAAGAGAAAGAAATAAAGGACATTCGATTAGGAAAAAGAGGAAGCCAAATTGTCTCTGTTTGCAGATGACATGATTGTATATTTAGAAAACCCCATTGTCTCAGCCCAAAATCTCCTTAAATCTGATAAGCAACTTCAGCAAAGTCTCAGGATACAAAATAATGTGCAAAAATCACAAGTATTTCCATACACCAATAACAGACGAACAGAGAGCCAAATTATCAGTGAACTCCCACTCAACAATTGCTACAAAGAGAATAAAATACCTAGGAATCCAACTTACAAGGGATGTGAAGGACATTTTCAAGGAGAACTACAAACCACTGCTCCATGAAATAAAAGCGGACACAAACAAATGGAAGAACATTCCATGCTCCTGGAAAGGAAGAATCAATATCATGAAAATGACCATGCTGCCCAAGATAACTTACAGATTCAATGCTATCCCCATCAAGCTACCACTGACTTTCTTCACAGAATTGGAAAAAACTACTTTGAAGTTCACATGGAACCAAAAAACAGCCTGCATAGGCAAGAAAATCCTACACAAAAAGAGAAAAGCTGCAGGTATCACACTACCTGACTTCAATCTATACTACAGGTCTACAGTAACCAAAACAGCATGGTACTGGTACCAAAACAGATATATAGAGCAATGGAAAAAAACAGAGGCCTCAGAAATACCATCACATATCTACAACCATTGGATCTTCGACAAATGTGACAAAAACAAACAATGGGGAAAGGATTCCTTATTTAATAAATGTTGCTGGGAAAAATGGCGAGCCATATGCAGAAAACTGAAACTGGATTTCTTCCTTACACCCTATACATAAATTGACTCAAGATGGATTAAAGACTTAAATGTAAGACCCAAAACCATAAAAACCTAAGAGAAAACCTGGGCAATACCATTCAGGACATAGGCATGGGCAAAGACTTCATGACTAAAACACCAAAAACAATGGCAACAAAAGCCAAAATAGACAAATGAAATCTAATTAAACTTAAAAGCTTCTACACAGCAAACGAAACTATCATTAGAGTGAACAGGCAACCTACAGAATGGGAGAAAATTTTTGCAATCTACCCATCTGACAAAGGACTCACATCCAGAATCTACAAAGAATTTAAACAAATTTACAAGAAAAAAACGAGCAATCCCATCAAAAAGTGGGCAAAGGATATGAACAGACACTTCTCAAAAGAAGACATTTATGTAACCAACAGACATGAAAAATTGCTCATCATCACTGGTCATCAGAGAAATGCAAATGAAAACCACAATGAGATACCATCTTACGCTAGTTAGAATGGGGATCATTAAAATGTCAGGAAACAACAGATGCTGGAGAGGACGTGGAAAAACAAAAACGCTTTTACACTGTGGGTTGGAGTGTAAATTAGTTCAAACACTGTGGAAGACAGTGTGGTAATTCCTCAAGTATCTACAACCAGAAATACCATTTGACCCAGCAATCCCATTACTGGGTATATATCCAAAGGATTATGAATCATGCTACTATAAAGACACATGCACACGTATGTTTATTGTGGCACTGTTCAGAATAGCAAAGTCTTGGAACCAACCCAAATGTCCATCAATGATAGACTGGATTAAGAAATTGTGACACATATACACCATGGAATACTACCCAGCCTTAAAAAAGGATGAGTTCATGTCATTTGCAGGGACATGGATGAAGCTGGAAACCATCATTCTCAGCAAACTATCACAAGGACAGAAAAACAAACACTGCATGTTTTCACTCATAGGTAGGAGTTAAACAATGAGAACACGTGGACACAGGACAGGGAACATCAAATGCTAGTGCCTGTTTGGGGGTGGGGGGCTATGAAAGGGATAGCATTAGGAGAACACTTAATGTAAATGTTGAGTTGATGGGTGCAGCAAACCAACATGACACATGTATACCTGTATAACAAACCTGTACGTTCTACACATGTATCCTAGAACTTAAAGTATAATAAAAATTGAAGGCTACAGACTATAATTTCTGACCAAAATGGATTAAAACTAGAAATCAATAACCGAAGAAAATTCATAAAATTCACAAATACATGATAATTAAACAATTTATTCTTCAACATGTTTTTGTTCAAGAGTTAAAAATTTAATATTTTGAACGTGTCTATAATGCCCAAATTGAGCTGCAGATTTAATACAATTCCTATGAAATTCTTAATATTATTTTTGACAGAAACAGAGAATGTGACTCCCCAAAGTATACGGAATTTCAGGGGACCACATAAAATAAGTTGGAAGCATTACAATTCCTGATTTCAAGACATGTTAGAAATCTACAGTAATCAAAATCTTATGTTACTGGCACAAAGACAGACAATTAGACTAATAAAAAAATCTTTGCCACTGCTGCAGACAATGCCTGCATCATCCTGCAGACTGACAATGATCATTTTGCTGCTGATGACTTTAAAGAGTGAGACAGACCTGGCCATGTGCCAGTTTGTGGAGTGCGACATTACTGATAACACCAGTGTCAGTCAGCCTCTGCTGGAGACAGAGATGGAGGCCCTCAAGGAAGAGCTGCTCTTCATGAAGAATCATGAGGAGGAAGTTAAAGGTCTATAATACCTGATTTCCAGCTCTTGGTTGACCATGGAGGTAGATGTCCCCAAGTCTCAGGACCTTGGCAAGATCATGACAGGCATCCGGGCCCAATATGACGAGATGGCTGAGAACAGCTGAGAGGAGCTGGACAAGTACTGGTCCCAGCAGACTGAGGAGAGCACCAGAGTAGTCACCATGCAGTCCGCTGAGATCGGAGCTGCTGAGAGGATGCTCAGGGGGTTGAGATGTACAGTCCAGTCCTTGGATATCGAACTGGACTCAATGAGATATCTGAAAGTCAGCTTGGAGAACAGCCTAAGGGAGGTAGACGCAGATGGAGCAGCTCAACAGGATCCTGCTGCACCTGGAGTCAGAGCTATCCCAAAACCGGGAAGAGAGGTACCACGCCCAAGAGCACGAGGACCTGTGGAACATCAAGGTCGAGCTGGAGGCTGCGATTGCCACTTACTGCCGCCTCCTAGAAGACGGGGAGGATTTCAATCTCCTGGATGCTCTGGACAGCAGTAAATACCTGCAAGCTATCCAAAAGAACAGCCCCCGCAGGATAGTGGACGGGAAAGTGGTGTCTGAGACCAACAATACAGACGTTTTGTTGTGCTAAGCCATCAGAAGCAAGGTCCCTTTGGGGAGCAGGAGGCCAGTAAAAAGTTCAGAGGTAAAAAAAAATTAACTTCAAATCACAGAAGTGTTTCCTTCAACACAAAAGTAATATAGATTCATTAATATATAGAAGTGGAAATTAAGACAATTTCCACAACTACTCACCCAGAGAGGATTAAAAAAATAATTGACCACCAACTAATAAAACAAATACACAAGTCATAAATAAAGTATGAGTAATGTTTATACAGGCAAATGAACAGAGAATTATGTTGGCAATAGACGTGTGGTTGATTCATATTTGACTGATTCATATTCAACTGTACACAGTTGAATATAGTCATACAAAATTATAATATATAAGCAGAATCTAAAAACACAATTAAATAATGTAAGGCAGCCTATCCTAACAAGGAAATACAAGAATATATAATATTAGAAAATAAAATTAAATAAACATTAGCCTGTGAAATACCGAATAAACAAAGCATGCAACGGAAGAAGACTCTTTCTAGATAACTAGCATGTTCAACCATAACTGGGCTCCCATAAAGAGCAGATTTTGAATTCTTAGCATATGGTTAGAGTAACAAAATTGCACAACAAATACATTATAATCTCCCATAAAGAGCATTTAGAAGAAAATTTTAATAAAGATTTCAATGATATTAGAGACACTTTTTATTATGTTCTTAATATATTACTCCTCTTTTTATACAAATGGAAAGGCTATAATTTATTTATTTTTTTTAATTTTTTGAGATGGAGTCTCGCTTTGTCACCCAGGCTGGAGTGTAGTGGCGAGACCTCGGCTCACTGCAACCTCCACCTCCCTGGTTCACGCCATTCTCCTGCCTCAGCCTCCTGAGTAGCTGGGACTACAGGCGCCCACCATCACGCCCGGCTAATTTTTGTGTATTTTTAGTATACACGGGGTTTCACCGTGTTAGCCAGGAAGGTCTTGATCTTCTGACCTCGTGATCCACCCGTCTCGGCCTCCCAAAGTACTGGGATTACAGGCTTGAGTCACCGCTCCTCGCCGGCGATATTTTTTGTAGTTTTAGTAGAGACAGGATTTCACCATGTTGGCCAGGCTGGTCTTGAACTCCTGACCTCGTGATCCACCTATCTCAACCTTTTAATGTGCTGTGATTACAAGCATGAAACACAGCACTGGCCTATAATTTATTATTTTTAAAACAAAGAAAAGCCTTACATTTTTACATATGGGAACAACATGAATATTGTAAAATATGCTGTGGAAAACTACAATATAATAAGCAATTAGAAATAAATTATACTATCATTCAGATAAATGTTGAGGAAAGTAAATGGAAACACTAATGATAAGTTTTTCTATGCAGTGAACTTAGACACAAACTAAAACTTTTCTTAATGTGATGTGCATACCATCCAATTCACTTTTTATATAACACATAAATTCAAGTATGTTTTCTGAAACCCCTGAAGCTAAAGTTATAGGCTAATTTGACATAGGTAAAAACAGGACAGGGAAAACGTACAGATCACAGTCCCACTAAGCTTTATATAAGATTAATTAATAAAATAACTCATTAAGAAATAATGTAACAGTTAAGAATTTGTTCTATTCCTGGCATGTTTCTAAGTTTTTCTATGGATTAAGGTCCTTAAAAATTCTTTGAGATGAGTAGATACAATAAACTATTCCACAGGTGACATGTTTGGCATAGAGAGTTCACATTTCTAAGTTAGTTTCTACTAAGGGAAAGAAAACTTTTTGACCTACATTACCAGAGATGAAAAAAAGAATAAAGTGAAATAGAAGATTCAACTTTATCATATGTGCTGAGGTGCTTTGGGCTCTGATAAATTTTTTTTCTGATTTTTTTGCAGGAACACATTTGAAATAATAGGACTGAAAATTATGAGGAAGAAACATTTGTCCTTGGTGTTTCTGAAATATGTGAACCAAACCCCAATGCCTGCACTTTTGCTCTCACAAACTTCTGACATGAGGCACAGATTTTTACAAGACAGCTTAACATAGAAGTCTCACAAAATGTGCAGATTTCCTCAGATCCCAAAAACAATGGAAAAGCACTCAGACCACAAGAGCTTCATGGGAATAGCAGAAAGAAGAGGCGAACTTTGGCTGTCACTGTGAATGCCCTGGAATGTTAGTGGATGAACAGAGAAGCCTTAGAAGATTTAAGAGCATAATAAGCATAGGGTAGGAAATTTCCACCTGTGGCAGCAAAAGAAGTAAATTTAGAATTTTCCAGAACCAATTTCTTTGAAGCAGAACTTCCAACACCACATTTTTAAGGTTTTCTCCTTGGCCTTTGCACCTCTCATCTTTGTTATTTGTTCATTCTTCCCTATTGGGGTGTTGCCTATTATTCTCTCTCTTTTTACATTCCAAAGATATTTCCTTTACTGTAGGACAGGGGCATCCACGGGAGACTACAGCCATGAGTTCTTAGTTTCTGTTTCTGGTTGAGCCAGTAAGGCCCTTTCCTCATCCCCCTTTTCCACTTATCACTAGACACAGAACCCAAAAACCATTGCTGCAGGCTGCTAAAAACCTAAAACAAAACAGAGCCATAACAAAAACAAAACAAGGCGGGTTGGAAAAGCTTGCTGTACGAGGCAACCAGGTCTGGCTTATATTCACCACATCCCTTCTTCTTTCCCAGAACAGCAATTGGGCTCAAGAGAAAACGTCCAACTTTTAGTATATCCCTCAGTGTAGAATGAGAACAGTGGAACATATGTTCAAAGGTTTGGCTTTGTGGGCTACCGCTGATGACTAGATTCTGTCTCCCCAAACAGGGAATGCTAAAGGAAATGGCAGAGTAATGAGAATGATAACTTATGACTGCTGAGAAGAGAAGTTACATGCTTACCACAGCCTCAGAGAAACAAACACTACAATCAACTGCGGAAGCAAAGGACCACAGTGTCTGGAAAACAATGGGAAAAAATATCTTTACCTTAAAAATACACACACAAGCCCAGAGAAGACACATTGAAGACACTGTTAATGAAGTACCAGGATGTACAGCCTCACTGATTGTTGTATTATCTTGTAGTAAGCAAGTTTGTACATACTACATTACACAGTTGTTTTATAAATTTCTGAATCTCATCAAAAGATTGCAGGGCATACAGAAAAGGACGAAAACATGTCCCAATTGAAGAAATAAAATAAACCTACAAATATTGACCTTTAAAAATCTTTGTTGACTTTTAAAGGTCAAAATTTGTAGGTTTATTCTTTGTTGTTGTTGTTTTTGCATTATATAATTTTAAAAATCAAAATAATTATCAAAGCTCCTTAATGATATGAACACTCCTCCAGTCCGCAGGGCTCCGGCAAGGGAGGAGCTTAGACACCATGCGGGACACCCGGGTGGACCCCCAACCCACGCCCGAGGCTCAGAGCAGGAGCAAGGACCTGGCTGCACCAGGCCGAAGCCGCCTCCACCCCCAGCGGTCGCGGACTCCAGGAGCTCCAGACCTGGGGTCGTGGTGAGATTCGTTGATTGACTGCGCGATGGTGGCTGAGTTGCAACCAAATGGGTTTCATCACCTTAAATGGTTTTGAACCAATGAAGCTATATTCCCTTAAAGAGACGGACAGCCCATCGTGTGAACTATAGAGTTTGTGAACAAATTTATATTGGGTTCATAGTGGCATCATGCACACAGACTCCTGCGAGTTCCCCTAAGTTCTTAGAGGACTGTTTTACCTTTTGATCTGAGAGTTGCAAAGTTCCGTAAAGAATGGCCCTGTGGATAAGCGCTAAGTCAAGAGACAGCGATTGGACAGAATTTGTGAAGGAATTCGCCGCCAGATCACGAAAGACCCCCTAAGCCCCCGCTCACTGGCAGCGTTCCTGGTCGGCCGTGACTGCACTGTGGACATGCCCATCCTGAAGGATCTGGCCACCGTGGCCTTCTATGATGCAGTCCACGCAGGAAATCCACGAGAAAGTTCTAAACAGAGCCGTGGGCCCCATGATGCACCACACAATCACCTCACTAGGAAGGTTCTGGCAAATTTCAAGTCCTTGAGAGTGCTCGTGGGGGTGGGCAGTGGCTATGACAACGTGGACATCAAGGCTGCCAGCGAGCTCGGAATTGCTGTGTGAAACATCCCGTCCGCAGCCGTGGAAGAGACAGCCAATTCCACCAACAGCCACATTCTCAACATGTACCGGAGGAACACATGGCTGTACCAGGCACTGTGGGAAGGCAAGCGGGTTCAGAGCATGGAGCAGATCTGCGAGGTGGCCTCGGGAGTGGCCCGCATTCGTGGGAAGACGCTGGACCTCATCGGCTAGGGTCGCACGCAGCAGGCTTTTGCAGTTCCAGCCACAGCCTTTGGATTCAGCGTCATGTTTTATTACCCCTACTTGCAGGATGGGATCGAGCAGTCCCTGGGCATGCAGAGGGTCTACACCCTGCAGGATTGGCTGTATCAGAGCGACTGCATCTCCTTGCACTGCAGTCTCAACGAACTTAAGCACCACCTCATCAATGACTTTACCATAAAGCAGATGAGGCAGGGAGCATTCCTTGTGAACGCAGCCCGTGGTGGCCTGGTGGACGAGAGAGCCTTAGCACAGGCCCTCAAGGAAGGCAGGATACGAAGGGCAGTCCTCGACGTGAACGAGTCGCAGCCCTTTAGCTTTGCTCAGGGTCCGTTGAAAGATGCCCCCAATCTCATCTGCACTCCTCTCACTGCCTGCTACAGCCAGCAGGTGTCACTGGAGATGAGGGAGACAGCTGCCACCGAGCTCCGCCGAGCCATCACAGGTCGCATCCCAGGAAGCTTAAGAAACTGTGTGAACGAGGAATTCTTTGTCACATCTGTGCTTTGGTGGGAAATAGACCAGCAAGAAATTCATCCAGGCATCTTGGGTGTGGGTCCAGGAGGACTTCCTGCATCCATGGAAGGGACCTTCCCTGGAGACATCCTGGTGACTCATAAACTCCCGACAGTGGCACATCCTTCCCAAGCACCCTCTCCCAACCAGCCCTCAAACACGGGGACAATCGAGAGCACCCCAACGAGTAATAACAGAGAATGCCGGAAGGTAATCATTCAGATACACTTTTGAAGAAGAGACAGTGAAAAATAGACAAACTAAGAGAAAAAGAATCTGACGCTCTTTTTAGCTGATTCTGGACATATGCTCATTGGTTTTGCAGTGTTAAAACTGCAAGACCTAGAAAACTGAAGATGTCGTCTGCTTACGGAAGCTCTGAAAGACTAGGATGTGATTTATTAACCACCAACTTCCGTTATTATGTGTTTAGTTTTTCATCTGTGCGTCAAATCACAAAGAATAAATACAACTTTTTCCTTTGTCAGTCCCTTGGGCACAGCAGGTCAGGAACACCCAGCTCAGAATGTTGCATCAAGACTTCAAACATCAAAATAAAAACCATGAGGAGGAAATCCCCATCTTGTGACTTGAGTCCCTTCAGTCTACAGGGACTGGTTACAGCTTTTTGCTAATAGGAAGATCACATTACTAGAAAATATGGAGTAAACTGTTTGCCTGTGGTAGACATCCTCACGCATAGGATTGAAGACAGTACCGGGTCCTGTACAGAGAAGCGTCTCTCACATCTGAACTGCATATTGAGCGGGCAAGTTGGTTGTAAGTTCAGTAAAAGCCTCCGATAATGCAAAAAAAAAAAAAAAAAAAGTATTAACTTTCACACGCTGTTTGTAATCAAGTATATTTTCTTAGTTTCAGATCCTCTGGTATTTTATTTAGTGGGAAGTCTTGCACTAAAAGGGTTCAAGAAAAATAATATTGCACTTTCTTATGTCACAGGAAACACTTTTAATGGTAACTTGTCAGATTGTCTATGAACAAACCCACTTTTTAAGACATTGATAAAGTCTTCTTTTCTTCACGTTGTGTTTTATACAAGAACACTTCAGCTGTATTGGATGTGACTGATTTTAACAAATTATATTAGATTTGCATCAATTAGTTACATGTTCTATTCATAGTCTTTTGTGAATATTGTCTTTTTGTTTAAAAAGATGGCCTGTTTTGATCCTTTGGTTAGGGACATTCCCGTTTTTGTAAGAAAAGAGAAATTTTTAAAACTGTCCCAAACAGAAAAATAATGGCTATCAGAAGTACGTTTTGTTTTAGTGTAGTGCGAATTACCGTTACTGTAGTTGTTTATTGTAAAGATGGACATTTAGCATTCAGTGCAGTTTTCAATAAAATGTGATTAGAAAAAACTGCTTAATGAACAAAAACAGAACATAGACAACAAAAGAATATTAGAAGAAGTGATACATAAAGAAAATGAGATATCAATAAAAAGATTTTTAAAAACCAACAATTGTGAATCTGAAGAACATAATAGCTATATTAAAAATTTAATCAACAGTCACAAAAGCAGACTAATAAAGGAGAAAAAATTACACAATTGATGACATTGTAGTTATAAATATTGAGTGATGAAAACAAATTTTTTAAGCAGAATGGAGGAAAAAGTATGGGACGTACTGCACATTGTCAAGTGGACCATTATATTTATGAAAGGAGTCTTACAAAAACAATATAGGAGAAAAGTAATAAAGAGATTATTTTTAAAAAGTAGCTGAGAAATCCCCACATGACAAGATAATTAAACAAGAAGAAATACTTCCAAACAAAAACCTTCAACTGGAGTAATATCACTTCAGAAATAAAAAAACTAAACCTTTCCAAAATAAATAAAAGTTGATTGTGTTACTAACCACTAGAAGAGTCCTAAAGGAAGTGTAAAAGAGTCTATCAAGTCCAAAAATGAAATGATGCTGCAGAGCATCATAACAGCACATGAAAATAGAAAGCTCTCTATTAAAGGTAAATATATAAACAGGTAAAGAAATCTCTACTGTCATAATCATGGTGCACAAAACTTTCAAAATATTGCCATGGAGTTTAAAACATGAAGCAGAAATCTGCATAAATTTGTGATCATAGACCATAAGGAAAGATAATATGTGATATTAATAAAACAGTGGGAGTGTGAAGAGGTACAACTTTGCATTCAGTTGAAATATGGTTGTTCTATACTGTCATAACTTTAAGATGATTTATGAAGTCTTTATTTCTCAGGATGATTACCAAAAAAACCTGTAGAATGTATGCAAAGGCAAACGAGAAAGAAATTCAATCACGTCACTACAAAATCAACAAACAGAAATAAAGCAGTAAGAGAAAAAATGATAAATAACACATCTACAAGAAACACAGAAGACAATTACAAATAATAAAGTAACTTCATTAAATGCAGTAATGACTTCAAATATAAAAAGTTAAATACCTTAAAGAAAATTAATAAATAATTTAATGGATTAAGAACAAAGAAGATCCAGCAATGTGCTCTCTACAAGAGTCATTCCAGCTCTAAGGACTCAAATAAGTTGAAAGTAACAGTATAAAGAAAATATATTTTATGCAAAGAGTAGCTAAAATTGGAGGGCCATGGTCATAATTATACTAAACAAAATATATTTTAAATCAAAAATATGAACAAGAGACAGATTGGTATTGTGTTTTTGTTTTTGTTTTTGGAGACAGAGTCTCATTCTGTCACCAGGCTGGAGTGCAGTGGCACGATCTCGGCTCACTGCAACCACAACCTCCCTGGTTCAATCGATTCTCCTGCTTCAGCTTCCCGAGTAGCTGGGACTACAGGCACACGCCGCCACCTCACCCAGCTAATTTTTGTACTTTTTAGTAGAGATGGGGTTTCACCTTGTTGGCCAGGATGGTCTCGATCTCTGGACCTCATGATTCACCCGCCTCGGCCTCCCAAAGTGCTGAGACTACAGGCGTGAGCCACTGCGCCCGGCCGAGAGAGATTGGTATTATGTAATGGTGAGATGGATTAACTTTCCAGGAATCTATAACAATAATTTATAAATCATATATATATAATTTGAAAAATCTGCAAAAATATACCATTGAGATTTTGACAAAAATTACATTAAATTTTTGTATTACTATAAATAGCACTGACATCTTTCTTTCTTTTTTTTTTTTTAGAGACAGAGTTTCTTTCTCTCAGGCTGGAGGGCAGTGGCACGATCTCTCGATAGGCTCACTTCAACCTCCTCCTCCCAGGTTCAACTGATTCTCGTCTTTCAAATATGTAAAACAAATATTGACAGAAGTCAAGCAAGAAATACATAGCAACACAACAATGGTGGACTTCAAGTCTCCACTTCAGTAATGACTAGAATAGTCAGAAGTAATATCAGTAAGAAAGCCAAACCTGAACATTATAGACCCAACCAGCATTTACAGAACTCTCCAATTTAAAGGAGCAAAATCTGCAATATTCTAAATCACACATGGTACATTCTGTTAGGATACATGTCTTATTAAATTTAAGAAAACCGAAGCCATACAATGTAAATGAAACTAGAATTCAAAAGCAAGAAAATGTGGCAAATATGTAAATAAGAGGAAATTAAGCAAAATCTTTCATATAGTCTTGCTCAAGTGTCAGGTGATTTAATATTGTTAAGATGTCAGGGCCGGCATGAGGCTCATGCCTGTAATCCTAGGACTTTGGGAGGCCAAAGTGGGTGGATCACCTGAGATCAGAAGTTTGAGACTAGCCTAGTGAATATGGCAAAACCCTATCTCTACTAAAAATACAAAAGTTAGCTAGACATGATGGTGCACGACTGCAATCCCAGCTACTCTGGTGGCTGAGACTGGAGAATTGCTTGAACCTGGGAAGCGGAGCCTGCAGTGAGCACATCTCGCACCCCTGCCCTTCAGCCTGAGTGACTCACTAAAACTCCATCTCCAAAAAAAAAAAAAAAAAATGTTGCCAGTACTACTCATGATGATATAAAAATGTAAGGTAATTTTTGTCAAAATCCCAATGGTATTTTTTTTGCAGAATTTTTGTGTATAATTCTAAACGTTGCTTAGGAAAGGTGACTAGCCAAACACCCTTTAAAAAGAACAAAGAGGTATTACATTTTCTGATTCAAAATCATGATACAAAGCTACAAAAATAAAAACAATATGGTATTGCCACAAAAACAGATACATAGATGACGAAACAGAATAGAGATCCCAGAAATAAACCCTTGCATATGTGATAAAATAATCTTCCATAAGCTTTCCATGACCACACAATAGAAAAATAAGAATCTATTTAACAAAGAATTTTCCAAATTGAATATTTACAGAGAAAAAAATAAAATTGGATGCTTCCTTTGTATCATATATAAAAAGAAAAGTTTTTTAAATGAATTCAATACTTAAACATAAAACCTAATAAAATTCTTAGAAGTAAACATAAGGGAAAAGTTTATGACATAAGTCTTAAAACTCTTTCCTTAAGTTTGACATCAAATTCATAAGCAACAAGGAAAAGAACAACGACCAAAAAAAGGGACTACATTAAGCTTCAACTATTCTACACATCAAATAAAACATTTAGTGCCATACAAACGTCACCTAATAAGTGGGTGAAAGCTAGGCATGGTGTCTCATGCCTTTAATTCTACAACTTTAGGAGGCCAAGGCAGAACAATCACTTGAGGCCAAAAGTTTGAGACTAGCCATGAAAACATAGCAAGACCCTGTCTTGTATAGGGTTATATATATGCATACATACATACATAAAACAAAAAAGAGTAAAAATATTTTCTAATCACATATTTGGTAGGTGTTAATTTTCAAAATATATAAATTCCTAAAACTCAACAACAAAAAAAGTTAATAACTTGATTTAGAATGGCACATGTTTGAAATGACTTTCTCCAAAGAAGACATAGAAATGACTAGGCATTTAAAAGGATACTCGACAACTCTCTTCTATAAAAATACAAAGAAAAGTCACAATAATCTATCACATCAAACCTATATTTAAAATAGTATGAAAGCTCTTCAAAAAATTTAAAATGAGATTATTATACAATCCAGCAAACCCCATTCTGGCTATGTATTTAAAATATACAACACATGATCCGGAAGAGATATTTGCACACCCAAATTTATTGCAGCATTACTAACACAAGCCAAAAGGCAGAAACAACCCAGCTGTCCCTTGACCAATGAAGAGATTAATAACAAGTGGCACATACACAAAGTCGAATATTATTCAGTCTTTAAAAAGTCACATTATATGATTATTCTTGAGAATATCACGTTAACTGAAATAAGCCAGGAACAAAGTGACAGTCTATGATTCCATTCATAATCAGGTATCTTAAGTAGACAAACTCATAGGAAAAAAATAGTTAGAATGGTGTTTGTCAAGGACTGAAGAGATGGTAAAATGGGCAATTGTCTTAAAAGACATTTAATGTTAGTTTTGCAAGACATAGAAGTTCTACAGATCTTTTGCATAACTATGTGAATGTACTTAACGCTAATGAAATATACACTTAAAAAGAATTAAAATGGTAAATTTTACATTATGTGTTTTTACCACAATCGCAGTTTTTAAAAGGAAAAAATATGGACTTATAAATCTTTCCAAAAATTAAATTTTGTTCACAAAAGATTTTCTCTCACACAAAGGAAGTATAGATTTATAATTAAACTCATTGTGAAATTAAGATTATTTCAATGACTATTCATCCTCACAAGATAAGACAACCACTGAAAATCAGCCAAAAAATATGGAAGATAAGCCAGGAGCAAAGTTGGGGACATATTTATAGAGACAAACACATATATAATTTAATTTTGAAAACGTATGACCGATTTATATTTTAATTAAACCCAACATTAGTTTCCTGAGTGAAATTTGGTTTTCAGTTTGGGCAAATGAAGACCTTTCTGTGGTTAAAAGGATTCTTTCTTCTCCGTTTCTTCATATGGACCTGTGCTGGGGATTGGTCAGCTGTTCAAGTGCAATGCACTCAGTTTTGGTTCTGTGCCAGGATTAAACCTACGATATTTCACATTTCATATATAAACCCCGATGAAGTGTTTCTAGGAGATGGCTGCCTCATAACCTATATTTTGCCAAATGTTTACTATGAATTTCACCACCATCCTCTTGAAGGTGGTATTGTAACTAAAACTCTTCAGGACATTCTACTTAAAACTAAAATCACGTATATCTCAAGAAACTCCTTTCTGATTTGAAATGCCTCTGTCATGTATTGTCTGCAATCAGCATCCTCTTTCAAAGAAAGTAGAAAAGACACATGAGGAAACTGATAGTGTTACTGCATGGGAGACAGAGGTGAGGATACACATGGCGGATGAAAACATGGAAGTTATTTCTACAGCACGATCTTGTAAGTGTCTGACTGCTATGCTCCCTTGTATATCAAATGATGTACCTTTATTGCAAGAGAAGATAGTGCGCTGTTTACCTTGACATTGAGAGGCAATTTTGAATCTCTGTCGTGATTGCTTAGGACTGAGGATTTAATGTACTATTTTGTGGAAATCTTAGAAGCAGTAATGGGATTTAATGATCTTAACTATCATCCATCTGAAAAATCTAACGCGATTTTAAATAAAATGGCCGGCTGCTTCCACCGTTCCCTTTTTAAACCAGGAGCTGCCGTTGCTTTTAACATTATGAAGTTGAATCTATGAATAGTTTGTACTATTAACATTTTTCTAAAAATCCACATTGACTTGAAGTGTACAGGCAGAGTTGAAAATCATAACATCCAAAGTTATAATACATAAGTAAAACCCAAAATAAAATCAACTGCTGCCCTGGAACCTATTATAAATAATCGAGACAGTAATATGGAATTGTAAAGAAAAATAAGAAACATATTTACTCATAAAATCTTGCAAGCAAAGTTTTTTTCTTTTTTTGAGACAGAGTCTCACTCTGTCTCCCAAGCTGAAGTGCAGTGGCGAGACGACGGCTCGTTTCAACCTCCGCCTCCTGAGTTCAAACCATTCTCCTGCCCCAGCCTTCACTGAGATTACAAGCACCTGCTACCAGACCAGGCTACCTTGCATATATACTTGATATATCATTTATGAAAATACTTTTTAGATAACTAAAATATTCTACTGTGACTGTGCATTCATGAAGTTCGGGTATCTTGAATCATTGGCATGCAGTGTGTGACAGTAAAATTTCACAGAAAATACACTATAACCATTAATAAAAGGCTCTAATAAGAGAATTTTAATGCATAAGAATTGAAAAGACACCATAAATAATTTCCGTCGTATTTTTAATACACTGATGCTATTCTTACACAAAGTAAAAAGGCTGGGTAAGTTGTGGTGGCTCACACCTGTAATTCCAGCAATTTGGGAGGCCGAGGTAGCAGATTGCTTAAGCACAAGAGTTCACAACATGCCTGGGCAGGATAGGGAGACCCTGTCTCTGCAAATAATAATAAACAGCCAAGTGTGTTAATACACATTTGTGGTCCCATCTGCTCAGGAGGCTGAGGCAGGAGAATTGCCTGAGCCTGAGTGGTCAAGGCTAGAGTGAGCTGTGATTATGCATTGCATTCCAGCCCAGGTGACACAGTGAGACCCTGTTTAAAGAAAAAAACAAACAAAAACTAAAAATTAACCAGGAGTAGTGGCATGCACCTGTACTCCCAGCTACTTCAGAAGCTGAAGTTAGAAAATCCTTTGAGCCTGAGAGTTTGAGTCTGCAGTGAGCCATAATTGAGCTACTGAACTCCAGTCTGTGTGACAGAGCAAGGCCTTGTCATAGATAGATAGATGATAGATGATAGATAGATAGATAGATAGATAGATAAATAAATAGATGGAATACACCTGGAGAAAGAGTAAATTTTAATGTAGTGTGATGTAATTTTTAAAATAAACTTTATGTGTATCACTTAGAAATTTATAGAACAGGCCGGGGGCGGTGGCTCACGCCTCTAATCCCAGCACTCTGAGAAGACGAAGGGGGCAGATCAGGGGGCCGGATATCGAGACCAAGACCATCCTGGCTAACACGGTGAAACCCTGTCTCTACTAAAAATACAAAAAATTAGCCGGGTGTGGTGGCGGGCAACTCTAGTCCCAGCTACTCGGCAGGCTGAGGCAGGAGAATGGCGTGAAACCGGGAGGCAGAGCTTGCAGTGAGCCGAGATCGCGCCGCTGCACTCCAGCCTGGGCAACAGAGCGAGAGTCTGTCTCGAAAAAAAAAAAGAAATTTATACAACTTAGCCAGAAGAATAAAAAACAACCTCTTAACAGTTTTTTCAAATAAAAAAGGTGAGTTTGAAGAGAAGGGAATAAAGGGGACTTTCAGTTTAATGTGTTTTTATTTTTTGAGTCAGGGTCTCACTTTGTTGCCCACATGGAAGCGCAGTGGTGTGATTTCAGCTCACTGCAATCTTGGCCTCCCAGGCTCAAACAATCCTCTCACCTCAGCCTCCCTAGTAGCTGCGAATACAGGTGTACATCACCACAACTGGTTAATTTTTGTATTTTTGTAGAGAGAGGGTTTTACCATGTTGCCCACACTCGTCTTGAGCTTCTGGGCTCAAACAATTCACCTGCCTTGGGCTCCCAAAGTGCTGGGATTGAGCCACTACGCCAACCAAGTTTTTTGTTTTGTTTTGTTTTTGAGATGGAGTCTCACTTTGTTGCCCAGGCTAGAGTGCAATGGCACGATCTTGGCTCACTGCACCATTTGCCTCCTGGGTTCAAGTGATTCTCCTGCCTCAGCCTCGTGGGTAGCTGGGATTATAGGCACCCGCCACCGAGACCAGCTAATTTTTGTATTTTTTAGTAGAGATGGGGTTCCACCATGTCAGCTAGGCTGGCCTCAAATTACTGACCTCATGATCCACCCACCTCGGCCTCACAAAGTGCTGAGATTACAGGCATGAGTCACTGCTCCCAGAGACCAGCCAAGACTTTTACTTTATAAAGATATTTATGATGTTTTCTTTTCTTTTTACAGTATGTATTGCATTTATAATTGGAGATAGAAAAAAAGGTGACTGTTACTGTTTGACAGCAAGGCAGTAGTATTATCTTCATCAATATTTGCAACTTAATTCGCAGGAACCTGTAAGAGAAAGCCCAGACAAAACTTTAAGGCAAAGAAGTTACACTTGTAAAAAATGAGAGGACTATGTTTTTATAATAACAAATATTCCAGGTGAGGACTGGTCAGGATCTACCACTGCTCCATCTCACTTGATAAGTCTCATGCCTGCCAGGGTAAGAAGGAGCAGAGAGAAGGACAAATGCCAGTGAGTTTCCTCTCCCACTAAGGATCTGTTTGTCAAGTTTCCCACCATCAAGTGGAAGATGTACTAAAAATAAAATGTACCCTTGCAGATGCTAGCAGAGAGGCACAAAATAGAAAAGGAGGTAAGCCCACGCATTGTGGAGAAAGAGATCCAACTTAAGATTCAAAATGCACCAGAAAGCTGTGTAAAGTTAATAAAATTACTCAAAATCTTGGAACATTTGTTTCCTCACCTGTAAAATGGGGATCATGTGCCTACTTCATAAGTTGTTTTGACAGTTAAATTCACAGAGATATTTAATAGAGCCTGCTATGGCAAGTGTTCACATTAACAAAGTAGTATCAAACTTCAAAATATGGGAAAGGTATTTTGAATAATGTCTATGAGGCCAAGGACAACATGCCCAGCTTCATAATCAATCCCAGCCACATTACACTGAGGAGATCTACAGGCAACTATATTTCTTCAACAAATTCCATTAGAGAGGAAGAGTGTGTAGTCTGAAAACATGACACAAATGTGACCAGTATACAGTGACTTAGGTAGTCGGGGGTGGAATCCCTACATATTCTCTGAATTGCAGTTACACAGTGAGTTCCCAGGAAACAAATGGAATAGAAAAGGTGACACAAAATATACTACCATAAATGGGGTGAGCATAGCAGGTTCACAACCACAAATGTAAGAAGGAGACTCAAATCACAAGGAGCACCTAGATCTGTGAACAGCAGCTTGTGGTGGCATCAGGTTCAACTTTCTGAGACCACCGGTGTGGGCAGTGTCTTTGCAGGCACATACTCGGCAGCAGTGTATCTGAAGACAGATCTCAAGGCTCTTCTCTTCATTAATTATTAAGATGATAGATGATGGATACCCTCACGTTACAACATCCCCACTAACGCTGTGGACAAGTGAATTCAGAACCCCCCACCTAAATACACAGTGAAGAGTAGGATGAGAATACTGCAGGATAGGTTAGGAATGCAGGCATTCGACCCCATAGAGTCTATTTAAAATAAGAGAAGGGCCCTAGTATTGTGCTGTGGTCCTCCTATATATAGTTCTTTATTTTTCCAATTTCATAAAGGCCATACAGTTTTTCTTCCTTTCTTCACAAATGTGCTGATGAACCCATGAGTAATTCATCCTGAAGGGGTTAATTCCTCATAAAGTACAGTAACGTGATTCAATTGCTATGATGAGGTTTTTCAGGATTTTTTTATAGTGTCCCATACTCACCGATCACAAGTGAAAATTATAAGAACATGTAATTTGAACAAAGTTTTCTTTTCACATAGAGAAATACACAGGTTTGTACAGATTAGATGCATCATCAAAGTTGGTAACATCTGGGAACAAAAGGAACTATCCTGAGGACATAAGGAACTTAGGAACGTCGATTATTAAGAGGCTACCTGCAAGTGGAACTTCTGGGTTTTCATTGTCTAGACAGAAAAATTTAACTGATAAGCCCCAGTATATTAAGGTACATCCCCAACGGCTGTGGGGGATCAACTTTCCATCCAAAGCAGAGATGTAAAACATGAATGACTTCAAATGCGGCTCAAGTGCTCTGCACCTTGAAAGTCATCCCCACAAAGCTGGAGCACCACCTGTTCCTGAGGGATGAGGTCACCAGCTGCTTTTTTGAGACACTCGTCAGTCAGGACTCAGTTGAGATGAGGCTGGTGATTTCAACTGTAAAATATCTAAACCATCGTCTTTAGGTAGATTCTTATGCCTGGGAATTGTGGTTTTCTCCTCTGCTGTTAGCAGATCCTGAGTAACCCAAGAAATACCCGCTCTCACCCGTCAAGTTCTATATCACAAGAAAGGCGCTGCAGACGGTGACATTTTCACGAAGGAGCCACAGCCCGCATCACCCCCTGAAAGCTCTGAAGTTGCGCACGGGTGGGTCACGCAGCAGGTGGATGTCTCAGTTCCCATAGAGTTTAGCAGAGCAGGCGGCTCCCTGGGCTGGAAGAGGTGCGATGCTCTGGAAACCCCCCGCGGGTGTGTATGTGAGAGGACACCGAGATGTTCAGCGGGCTGTTCATGAGGACCAGACCCCTCCGATTTGAGCAAGGGAGGTGCACTTCGCAGGGTCACACCGTCCTCATCGCCCAGCCTAGACCTGCCCCTCAAGTCCTTCTGCGGACTCCCTTGGCGAGGGGGTGGCACAGAATCAGCATGTGGCATCGCTTAGGAAAGGACGAGTCCACACCGCCCTGTCCCTCCCTCCAGGGCTGCGCACCACGGGGGAGGACAGACAGCGCATGCTGGTTTTGTAGTTAGCAGGTCGGCGACCAATGGGCTGGAAACCGTTAAGACACCATAACTCCCAGCACTCCTAGCTAGGGACGCGCCTCCCTATCCTTCGCTTCCATACTACACACCGACCCCAAACCCAGCGCATGCTGAGATTGTAGTCCGTTAGCCTCGCGACCAATGGGCTGGAAATACTGAAAGGACTATGACTCCCAGGATGCCTTGCGAGGTACCCGCCGTCCCGATCCTTCCTCTAGGGCTGCGCACCGCCCCCAAGCCCAACGCATACTGGGATTGTAGTCAGGTAGTCCTGGGACCAACTGACTGGAAACTGTTAAGAGACCATAACTCCCAGCACGCCTGGCTAAGGACGCACCTCCCTATCCTTCCCTTCAGTGCTACACACCGCCTCGAAGCCCGGTGGCTGCTGGGATTTTAGTCTGCAGGCCGGGGGCCATCGCTGGAAACCATTAAGAGACCATAACTCCCAGCATCCCTGGCCAGGGACGCGCCTCTCTATCCTTCCCTCCAGCGTTACACACCGCCCCAATCCCGGTGCATGCTGGCATTGTAGTTCGGTAGCCTTGCGATCAACGTGCTGGAAACTGTTTAAGGACTATGACTCCCAGGACGCCTTGCGAGGGACCCACCCTGTTGACCCTTCCTCCAGGGCTGGGAACCTCCCCTAAGCCCAGCGCATGCTGGGATCATAGTCCGACTGCCGCGACAGAAAGGCTGGGAGTGGATCTGAGACTACAGTTCCAACACTACGGGGAAAATTTCATCTTCTCTGAGACTACAGTTCCAACACTGCGGGGATAATTTCATCTTCTCCTCCGCCCCTCCATGTTTCCAGTGCAATTCCGCCCTGCTGAGGGGAGCCTATCTGTTCCCAAACTTCTGCGTGCGAGGAGACAGCGTGGCCAGGGCAGGTGGTCTCACTTGTAATTGTGACACAGTCTCCCCACGTGCCAGTTGTACGACTATTTGTGCCTGAAGTTTGATTTCTCTCTGACAAGACAGAGCCCGGGAGCCTCTAACAGCCTGCCCAGTGTTGCCGTAACGCTTGCTCTCGGGGAGCTGGGCGCGCCCAGACCTTTGCAGGGCCCCTCCCTCAGCCCCGACCCTTCTCCTCGCCCCTCCCCTGCCACGCCCCTTTCGACATGCTGGAAAGTCATCTACCTTTAATAACAGTCATCTTTGCAAAAAAAAAAAAAAAACTCTGAGAATAACCTATCTCCCATTCTATTTAGTATTTATTTCCATAGTATCCATAAATAGTAGCAATTAGATATCATAGCAAGTCAAGCAAAAGCCCTGCCTTGCCTGTTTCATAAACCACGATATGGCCTTGCTGTGGTTTTATTTGTATTTTGTTTTGTATTTATTGACCTTTTGGATATAAATATTTAGGTATTTGGACAGTTTTTGGAAGTATTCCGCTATTAGTTGTTGATTTACTTTTGTTCCCTATTTAATTTTTTTTGTCTCTCCCTTCTCCTTAGACTCAGTCATTCCACAGGTCTCGAGAGCTCTGTTCATTTCCTTTAAACTTTTTGTACTTTTTTTTTCCCAGACTGGATAATTTCTATTGCTGTGTCTTCTGTTTTAAATCTATGGCTAAACGCAAAAGATTTTTTTCATTTCCTTATCTATAATTTTTTTATATATATGTTCATTTCTCTGCTGAAGTTCCACATCTGTTTGTTTATGAATAGAATATTTTCTTTTTTCCCCATGAACATATTCATAAAAACTGCCTTCAAATTCTTGTCTGCTGATTGCAACATCCTGGGATAGCTTCTACTGCCTGCTTTTGATATTGTGTATGGATGACATTTTCACGTTTCTTTACAAGTCTTATGAATTTTAAAATTGTGCACTAGAAACTATAAATGATAATTATAGAATAGAAACTCTGGATTTTGTTGTTTTACCTTGAAGACTTTTGTTTTATAAACAGGGTTCATTGGGCTAGTGTCAAACCAATGCTTGTGTCTGCTACAGTGGGTATAGCTGAAATCTTCATTCAGTTGTTAAACACACATATCATATATGTATTATGCATAGGCGTTTTTCTATAATAATATATTTTATTCAAGTTTCATCATTGTTATTTGTGAGAGTTCAACAAGCTAGTCCACACTTAGTGGAAGTCAGAACCTCAGTTTTATTTGATTGTAGCATTTTATATAAACAAAATTATATAGTATGTATACTTGTACATCTGTTTTCTTTATTTCCTTTTCTGTTTTCTTTCTTTCTTTCCTTTTCTGTCTTCTTTCTTTCTCTCTTTCTTTCCTTCTTTCTTTCTCTCTTCTTTTTTCTTTCTTTCTTTTCCCCAGGTTGGTGTGCAGTGGCATGATCTCACTGCAACCTCTGCCTACCAGGCTTAAGATATCCTTCCACTTCAGCCTTTTGAGTCACTGGGACCGCAGCCTTGCACCACCATGCCCGGCTAATTGTTTTGTATTTTTGGTAGAGACAGGGTTTCACCATGTTGCCCAAACTGGCATGTCTGCTTTCTTTTATGCAACATTACATTTGTGATATTCACCCACCAGTTGCAAATAGCTATAGTCTGTTCATTTTAGAAAGTAGTTTTTACCTTTTAGTAAAATATAAAAATACATGAAATTAACCATTTTATTTTTTTGTGTGTGCAGTTTAAAGAAATTAAATACATTCACATTGTTTTGCAACCATTGTCCAAGTTCATAAGGAACTGTTTTTCAATCTTTTAAAAGTGAAACTCTGTACCCAGTAAACAACACTCCCCTTCCATTGCCCTTTGTGTAGTCCCTGGAAACTACTCTTCTACTTCGTGTTTCTATGAACTTAACTGCTGTAAATATCTCATATGAGTGGAAAGAGACAATATAACAAAAAAATCATGAGGAAGAATAATATATACTATATAACATATGTTTATCCATTTTAAGAAAAATGCTAGCAGAGATCAGGTCATGGTGATTATAGAGAAAGGTAGGTAACAGTGAAAAGGGGATTGGTTGCATTAAATTTACGACGTGATGCCTCAAGTGCCAGAGCAGTGAGCTTTCTGCCCCACTCGCAGGGCTGGTCAATGGTGTGGCTGGAACCCTACTCGAGCTGCCTGACTGCCAGAGCCCATGCTTAGTACAAACTTCAATGAGCCATGAAAGCAATTCCAACAACAGGCACTTAATGGCTCTGAGATTTTATCACAGCCTGTTCTTCATGGCTAGCAACTTCAGAGAAGAGTGACAGCTGTGAGGTTCCAGAAGCCACACCTCAGGTCCCCCAGTTCCTCCCCAGCAGCTGGAGTCCAGGTGCAACAGGACCTGATGCTGGCCAGGGAACCCTGGCCACAGGCTGTGTGAGGCTGGCGGCAAGACAGTCTCCCCTCCTACCCTCTGCTCATCTGCTAGGTCTTTGCCTTTTATTCTGATTGTGCTGCTCCAGGCTTGGAACCAAGCCCGAAATTCCTCTTGAGTCTGAAGATGATGATGGTTTCCAGCTGTGTGGAACTGCTGCATCTCCTGGAGGACTTTAATCTTCTGGAGACAGAGGGAAAGACAGGATGCTGACAGGGCCTGGGTGAAAGACTCTGTAGGGGCCTTATAAAAGAAGGGAGGAGGGCTGGTCTCTGAGGTGTTTCTTTTAAGGGGCTCTCACCTCCCCTCCAATATCATGCAGCCCTAACTGGTTCTCAGAGTTGAATGTAAACGGCCCTTCCTCTAGGAAGTTGTCATCAACTTCACTCCCCTGATTGCACCCTGCATTAGGATAGGTCTCCTCCTTCTCTGTGTATTACTCCCTTTCAATAAATCTTAGATGCGGAAGAAGGGACCAGGGAATGTCCTGCCCAGGGTGATTTCTCATTTCCACCTCCACCCTCCCTCAAAGTGAGGACTTCAGCTACTGCTCACCTTTCTGTTTTTCTGGGTTTTGATCACATTTCTCTGGAAGACAGAAAGCCAAAGACCATCAGAAAGGTCCGCTGGTCCATAACTAGCCTCCATTTCCAGCGATTTCCAAGCTTCACCACCTCCAGAGCCACCAGGGTCACGGAATGTGCACAAAAGAGGTCTTGCAGCTCTGCAGCTTCACTACTCAGGGAGTGGGACTGATGGCTGCTGTGGAGCCTCCATCACTCATGAGTAAAATACCCTGTTTACGGGATGAGGAGGGCTGCGAGGCCCTCGCAAAAAATTTTGGCAAGGACTGGGATCTAGGAGCTCAGTTCAAGACTCTCTTCTCCCAGGCCTCAGGATCCTGGTCCCTGACCTGTCTGCTCCAGGCTCACTCACATCCACACACTCTTTCATGGCAATGTCCAGCATCACCACATCAGTGAGGAATGTCCCCAGAGAGGGCATGACTTGGGAGGTGCCCACCCAAGTCCTGTCCGCTGAAATCTTATAAACCCCTGCCTCCTGGCGCCCTCTACCTAGGTTACCCACTTGGAGTAGCTGAGAACCCTCAGCTGCCTTTTCCCAATTCTCTATGTCTTCCCATTAGCTGGCCTCTATTGCCACCAACCTCACCATAATTACCTCCTTGGTGGGATTTTAACAAGCCACAAGGTCATGTGGTCCCTGGCTCCACCTATTTTAAAAGCCACACGGAGACCAGCTCTCCCAGGCCTTGCTCTGGTCTGTCTAATGAACGTGTTTTAGGCACTGCAGCTCCAGGAGAAAAGGGCTGGAGTAGAAAGGCCCTCTGCTTTTTTGATTTGGAGGTTTCCAGCTGGGAGAAGTAAGCTCTGTTCTCTGAAACCCTGGAGCCCTTCCCCATCACAGACACATTCACCTTCTGCTGTCACAGCCTCATCTAAGCTCTCTGGGGCTCCGCTACAGGGTAGACAACTTGTACGCTGTTCACCTGCTAAGATGAGGGACAAGGTCAGTGAAAATATGCTTCTTTCAGTTACGCCTCAGCTACACTAACCTTGGACACGGATAAGTGGCCTGAGTCAGCTTGTCCAATGCTCTGATCATCTCCAGTAAGCTCTGATTCTAGACTCACTCCCAGGTCCAACACTCCCTGGATGTGTCATTTTGGGCATGCAGTCGGGTTTCCCTGAGCTGTTTCCTCAACTGGAAAGTGTGGTGGGAACCAACTACCTCACAAGGCCTCTTACCACCTCGGTTTCATGTGGTTGTCATGATTGCTGTCACCATCATCCCTCTCAGGATGAGCCAGACACAAGCACCCTCAGATTCTCTGTCTCCCTGAGCCCCATCACCACCTTGTGAGGCCTGCCCAACAGGCTCATCATTCCTAAATTTTCCACATAAGAAAACAGAGGCCCAAAGCGGCAATGACATGCCAAGGACCCCACAAGAGAGGCCAGCTCCTCCCTCAACCTGGAGGGACTGTCCCGGCTGCCTTCACCTAACACCCTAGCATCATCACTGACCAGCATTCCATCTTCTAAACTCTATGAGTGACAATATTCCCAGCCAGGCCCTGTGGCAGTGGACATGGTTCTGAGAATTGGGAATCTAATGTGGAGGAAAAGTTAAATATTTAATATGAACTCAATTGAACATGGGCACAAACAATGGTCACGAAGTCCTGGAACAGGTTGCATGAGCCCCTTGAGGTGTTCATCCAGCGCTGTTTCAGAGAAATCTTTCAATCCATTCCTATACATTAGTTATTGAAAAAACAACAGACAATTGCAAAAACAAGTTGATCTTTTGTGTTCCTTGAGCCCATTTGTGAAGGGCACCTGTGACTGCGCCTCATGCCAAACAACACATTACAAAAAGAGCTAGGGTCCCAGACTGTGCTGAAGTTTCATGAGACCTCTCCTCATCTGTGCATGGACACGTGGCTGACTCTGGAGCCCAGGCTGTTGCTTCCCAGTCTGGTAATGAATCCTCCATAGTCTGGTGCGTGTAAATATACATATATATATTTTCTTTCTGTCCTTCCCATTGCAATTTGCTTATTATATTATTTGCTTATCAAGTCTGTATTGCCATACACTTGGGATAAAGGCTATTTATCCTTAAAACTATTGTGGGTGCCTTTTCTTTTCCCCTCGTTCATTTCCCGCACCGGAGCCCAGGTGATGGAATCTCGAAGTGACCTCACTTCCTTAGTTACAAACTCAAAGAAAGTTTAGAACTCTGGTAACCTGGAGCCCTAATTCTAGAGACAGCTTTGTATTTACTAAGGAGACTCTGAAGACAGCAAGATGTTCTCCTGCTATGTCTTGAATTTCTGAGGCTCTCATCTCAGGAAGGCTTGAACAGAGAGACTTTTTTTTATGATGGAGACAGTGCTCATTCTGCACTGCTGGCTCTTCTGGCCATTTGGAAAGGGTTACCCATAGATAACACAAGGCCACCCATGGCAGGCCTATCCAGGCCAGGCCTCACCTTTGATATCATCTCGGCAGGCACACACCCCTCCTCATCTCCACGTCTCGTGGGAAAGAAAGAGATAATGGGTCCTTTCTTGACAGGAGCAGGTTTCCAGGTATTGGGAGGCTAAAAGCCTGTCAAATTTATACCGCAGGTTACAGTTGGCAGGAGGGGAAGGTGAGTGCTGGGGGTCACCTTTGTTTGTTCAGACATTTATTCTAAGGCTTCAAGCTGTCCTCTTGTTTTCTCCCTGGCTGGAGGTCTGCGCAAATGCTCCTATGTGCCTGATCTGGGGAGTAGACTTTCTAACTGGAATTTCCCCTGTGGGGAAAGCCAGGATGCCATTGATGCCTCTTGGCCAGGCTTCCAGGCACTCTCTTTGCAGAACTCTATTGAGGAGATCCCTGAGGAGCTGTTTGATGAGTCCAACTACTCCATCTCATTGAACAAAAGGCAGGTGCATCATGCCAACAACCATGGCCCGTGCTAGTCTGGAGTCAAGGTGGGCACAGAGAGGTCTCCAAATGGAAAAGACCAGGGAAGCCCAGGACCCTGACCCAAATGTGAGGATTCCCCAGAAACCGTTTTAGGGCTTTCTCCATTAAGGACCCACAGTTCCTTCCCAGAGGAATTTGGCCTCCATTAGTCCATAATGGCAACTTAGGTGCACAGTCCCCGGTCATATGCTTGCAGGAATGTCAAAAGAAACACTTTTGTGTTGTTATTACTTTACATTAAGTTGTGAGTATCTTTGCATTTTGCTATTATTTTTATTGTTATATCTACCTACCCCACATACTTCCTGGAGCAGGCAGCTTCGCTGCCTTGCCAGACCTTCTCTAAGTCTTAGAAGTTCACACTGTTACTAGAGAGAGGTTTCACCCAAAAAGTGGGAGTTATGCAAAAGGGTCTTATATGACTCTTTACATATGTGTCCCAGAGCCCACCTCTATAGCCCCATCAGGACAGGAGCTGTGTCCCCATATGTCTTTATAAGATTCCATAAGTGGGGCCTTTCCCTCAGTAATTTAGGCTTTTAATACTGGTGGAGCCTGACATAATAAATTCTATTTCCACTTCAGCCATGCTACAGGGAATATCTTTTTTTTTTTTTTTTTTTTTTTGAGACGGAGTCTCGCTCTGTCGCCCAGGTGGGAGTGCAGTGGTGCAGTCTCGGCTCACTGCACTCTGCCTCCTGGGTTCACGCCATCTTCCTGCTTCAGCCTCCTGAGTAGCTGGGACTACAGGCGCCTGTCACCACGCCCGGCTAATTTTTTTCTCTGTGTGTGTGTGGTTTTTTTTTTAGTAGAGACAGAGTTTCACCGTGTTAGCTAGGATGGTCTCGATCTCCTGACCTCGTGATCCACTCGCCTCGGCCTCCCAAAGTGCTAGGATTACAGGTGTAAGCCACCGCGCCCAGCCGCTACAGGGAACATCTTATCTGTGTCCTAATAGGCTGTAACGCTTTGCTATGACTTCCCTAATACAGTACCACAGGCTGAAGTTCTTTAACAACAAAAACTGAATGTCGCACAATTCTGGAAGTTAGAAATCCAACCTCAAGCTACTGGCTGTGTGGTTTCTCTGAGGTCTCCATCCTTGGCTTGTAGATCGTCATCTACTATATCTGTGTTCACAAGATCTTCTCTTGTGCTTTTCTGTCCTTCCTGCCTCTTCTAATAAGGGCTCCAGTCATCTGGAATTAGGATACACCCCAATTAATTCACTTAAACCTAACTACATTTGCAGAGGCTATATGTTCAAATATAGTCATGTTCTGAGGCACTAGGTGTTAGGACATGAACATATAATTTTTAGGAAGGGAATGCAATCTAGCTCACAACATTTACTAATCCCTTGTAGATTATAGTCTCCCAGGAAAATGATTACTCAGTGAAACAGTAGGAAAGTGTAAAGGTTTAATAGGAGAAGCCGGAATATATTCCAAAAGGGTTGTGAAAGCCGTACTGTAAATAGTAGTTTCTGAATTTATCTGCTTTTATGTATCCAGAACCTCTTGGTTGTCAACATTCTTTTAATTTTTTTGTCAATCTGCTATCTATGTGGCAAAAAAACATGTTTCTATTTCAATTTTTCAACTGATATATTTGAGTTACCTTTCAGTTGATTTATACTTATTTGAGTTTTCTGTTCCCTCAGTTAATCCGCTCAATTCCTTGGCCCTGTGAGGGGTTTCTCTCACCTTGGAGTCCCCAAGCACTGACACCTTTGTCAGGTGTGGGGTTGCTGTAGTTATTTCTCAACACTCCCTTTAAGGTTTTAAAAGACCCAGTTCAGTTGCTTTAAGTCAAAAGGGTTGTCTTAGGGTATCTTATCCTGTGCCCTGTCTCTAAAACAGAAAGAAAGTGAGCCTTCCCCATGCCCTTCCCCCTAAGTCAGGGACAGACATAGAGCCTCAGGTAGCTTAAAGGGAATTTCATGCAACCCCCACCGTGGAAGATTCTCTTTCTTACTTGTGTTTTTCTGAGCAGCCATTTGACATCACAAAGCTTTATTTTCTCATTTGTAGGCTGAGTATGTTTTTTTGGGAATTCTCTGGGATAATGCTCTTCATAAAGATTATTAATACAAGTGGGTGCTGTTGTCTTACAGCTGATATGATGTCGTGAAGGCCTTGAATGTATTCATGGATTAATTATTCTCTACCTCCACATTAAATTTGATATCAGAGGCCTAAAACCTTTTTCACCATAAACACCCATGTCCTCCACATGCCCAAGTCTCTGAAGGATGGAGATTTCCTCATCCAAGCTCCACATTCCAAGCCTCTGGTGTTTCATGGTCTTGCCATGAAAAGTCTTGTCCCCTCCCCAAGAGGAAATGAGTCTATTCTTAACCTAGAGGTGTGAATGATGCCAATGCGCCAAACCAGGCACAACGGAGAAGCTGACGAAGTCCCTGACAGCAGCCTTCCAGGGTCAAACTCTCTTCTTTTTATCATTTTTCTCAAGTTTTACCAGGACTTCCTCACCACTCTGTAGTTCCTGGACCAGCTGTCTAGTAGTTGAGCATATGTCTTCTCCAAGGCACAGTGGTGACTCTGCCAGCTACTAACTGTGTCTTAGCATACCAGTGCATCTTTATCAGCCTCAATTTGCATCTTTATAGAGAATTGTAAAATGAACCTCTGTTCTGTACGAGAGACATGCAAGGGGAGAAGAAAACACACCCAAAAAAACCTTTAAGGGTAAACAAGCTTTATCTGACGTAAATGGCAGTGCAGCTATAATAAGCAAATTGCAATGGGAAGGGGAGAAGGGAAACATATATACATATTTACGCCCACCAGACTGCGGAGGATTCATTACCAGACCGGGAAGCAACAGCCTCGACTCCAGAGTAGGTCACCCATCCCTGCACAGACAAGAAGAGGTCTTAGGAAGTTTCAGCGTGGCCTAGAGCCCTAGTTCTTTTTGTAATGAGTTGTTTGGCATGAGGCCCAGTCACGAGGGCTCTTCACAACTGGGCTCAAGGAACTTGAAAAGGTTATCTTGTTTTTGCAATTGTCTGTGGTTTTTCAATAACTAACACATAGGAATAGATTGAAATAGATATTTCTCCAAAACAGTGCCAGATGAATGCTTCAAGCGGCTCATGCAACCTGTCTGAGACTTAATGACCATTGCTTTTGTCCATGTTCAATTGAATTCAAATTTAATATTTAACTTTCCCCCACAACCTTATATGTTTTTTGTGAGAAATGAATGGCATACAATATGAAAAGTGGTTTCCTAATGCTCGGCTTTGTGGAAAGCCTGCTGGGGCATGCTCTGATTGTTCGTATTTATTACTTTTTTCTCTTCTTTCACCCCAGAAGGTCTTTCATGTCACAGTGACTCATGTCCCTCTATAATTGGACAATCATATAGAAAACAAACATGTTCTTACATTTGTAAAGGGCACTTGAGCTTCCTGTTAGCTGGACTTTGTCCTTGAAACAGAGAGATCCTGTAGGAAAGAGTCCCCAGGCACACTCAGACATAGCTAAAAAGGTTGTAGTTAGGGCTTATTTATTCATCACATATATATAACGCAGTTTTCCAGACACTTGGCCTAATTCAGTGAAGACAACAGATGACAGTTCCTGGGCCACAATTTACTTCAGGGAGTCAGACACTCAGAGTGGACATTATAAACAGGTCATGATCACAGAATGTGAGAACTGATGTTCTCATGCTCTCCTCTAGGAATGGATGCACCTGTCAGCTTCTGATCAGAACGACAGACCCAGGATCAAGCATAACATTTAAATAGACGAATAAAACTTTTTTCCAAAAAGGAACATCGCTTTATGATAAAAACTCTCAACAAATTAGGTGTAAAGTAAATTCACTTCAAAGCATTAAAGGCCATGTATTACAAATGAATAGCTGGGCGGGCAGATCTGCCATAAGGCAAGGGCATCCGCTTCCCTAGATACATATCCAGGGGCACAGAGAATGAGCAGTTCCAGGGTTGTGTCTCACATGGGGTCCTCTCCAGGTCGGTTTCAAGAGGACAGGACTGGGGTTCTGTATCCACTTCTGTGGAGAGCTGGAAGTAAAATGAGCTATGCTCCACCTCAGCCTAATGTAGACAATGGCTACAGAGAAGACTGTTTTCTTCCTCATAAATAGGGGTGCTCGAAGTGGGTAACCTTGATTGTTTCACATACTCATAAGTGTCTGCCAGCCTTGATTCTTCATTGGTGAACTAAGACTCTTTGCTCTGAAACTCTGCAGAAATGCTTCTACTCCCTGGAGGCCCTTCAAATCAGAGAGAGGCATGGCCACTCCAGAGGCATTTTGGGTAGATAAAGATGGGATAGAGCTAAACGTGTCAGAACACTGGACCCTGAGTCTGAAGTCATGGGAAAATGCCAGTTCCTGTTGGGTTTTTGAGCTCCTCATTTGAAAGTCGTATTAAATAATTTCCCTGGATAAGGGGAGGGTGCCTCATGAGTAAATGGCACACTCCAAATGGTGGAGGCAAAGAGAGGGCAATGGAGGATTCCAAGGTCACTCAGTGTACTTGGAGCCTTCAGATTCTGCTCCTTTGTCCTCTGGAACTCCAAAGAGTCAGTGTCTTGAGGACACAAAACAATGGTACCTGATTTGTTCCATAATGTTCCTGCATGGGGCTGCAGTGTTAGTGATGGCCTGGAGGTGGTTACAGCCTGCTGTGTTTCTGGTGCCTATTGAGCTTTGCTGGAGCAGCTGGAGCAAGTAAGAGTCACACACCTCATGTTATTATCAACAATTTCCACATTGCCCACTTAGCCAATCTTTTTTCCCTTGCACTCACCCTTTGCCAGCTACCCTGGTGGGTCCAACATGTGGCACAGAAAATGATTACATCATGCCTGCATACCCCTCCAAGGACAGAACAGTCTGAAGTCAGCTCGACAAAAGCACTAAAGCAAGTATATATAAAAGAAAAGAGCAAGGACTATTATATAAAGTAGAATGTTGAGAAGAAGAGCTGCAAAGTCATTGAATGGGGGGACCCAAAGTCCTCACTGAGGTGATCTTTAATCCATGATGAGAATGATAACAGGGAGGCATCTCTGCACAAGAATGTGTCAGTGAGAAGCCACCCTTGGTGAAGAGTCTTACAGGTGTGAGTTTGGCAGAGATTAGAAAGGGACCAATTTGGTACAGACAGCCTGAGGAAGAGATAAGCAGAGGCATGGAGAATCCTGGGGCTTGGGAGATGAGGCTAGATATCTGCTCCTTTCTGACAACATTGCCCTAAAACTTAGCACCTTTCAATAGTATATAGTATCTCACAATTTGTGTGGACCAGAATCTGGACACAGTTTAGTTAGCTGCCTCTGCCTTCAGGTCTCTTATGAGATTGGGGCTGTGGTCTCAACTGAATGTGGACCGGAAAAGCATCAACCTTTAAGCTCATGCTTGTGAAAATTGGCAGGGTTCAGGGTAGACTGAGAGCATGACTTTACTTCTGTCTACTGCCTGAGCACTCCCTCCGTTCTTTGTTATGTGCGTCTGTACATAGAGCATCTCATAGCATTGGAGCTTGCTTCCTCTGTTTGAGGAATACAATTGAGAGACAGAATTAGGCAAACAGTTTCACACAAAGAGACATAAAGAAATGGAAAGACTGAGGAAGCAAATAGGAAAAACCCAGTAGGAGGAATAATGACAGCTTTAAAAAAACTTGAGAGTTACAATAATTTGTATTAAAATTGTAACCCCCAGTGTAATGCTATAAGGAGATAGGTTGTAATTAACTCCTGAGGTTGAGGCCATCATGATTGAGATTACTGGCTTTATACAGGAAACCCCAGAGGGATGTCTGTCTCCTTCTACCAAATGAGAATAAAATTTGATGTGTGCAGTCTGAAATTCAGAAGAGTCATCACCAGAGCTCAACCATGCTGATACCCTGATCTCAAATTTCCAACCTCTAGGAGTGTGAGAAATTAAATCCTGTTGTCTATAAGCTGTCTAGTTCATGGTTCTTTGGTATAGCAGCCTGAACTAATACAAAAGTCATACACTATTCTGTATTCCATTTGACAGAAGCTGAATTTGTGCCTTCAAACTGTTAAAAAAAAAAAGACTTAAAAATTGGATATTCAGAATGAAAGATAAGAAACAGCTTGTTGAAACACTTAAATCTCCTCTGCTTATAAGATTTTAAAAAATTGGCTGAAATATGTTGGAAGCAATATGGCCAACTGAAGTCCATGGAGAATGAGTTTGCTGATGTTAGAGCCCAAATTTCCGTTGCATGTTTCATATTAACTCTCCCTGAATATTCATGTGACCTGTGAGGAAGCAAGAGGAGATGACTGTGCATGTCTCATGACTTTCCATATTACTACTTTCCTTCCAGCAATCCCCTCCTAATCCAGAGCCCACTTCTTAAGCATTTTTTAATCAACACCTTAAAGCCTATATAAGGAAACTGATTTCAGCTGGACTCCTGTCTCCTGTTGGCCAACCTACAACAAGATGCCATTTTTCTCAAAACCCAAGTGCCATACTACTGGCATCGAGCAGTAGGTCATTTTGTTCAATAACAAACTGAGTCACTAACCACCTAGTGCTGGGAGACTTTGTGAAGGCTTTCCCCAACTTAGGTGAGATAAGGCACATGGATATAATTCTATATATAATAAGAAGTCACTAGAAAGTTTAATAGTTGTATTAGTCCATTTTTATACCGCAATGATGGAATACCTGGGACTGGGTAATTTATAAAGAAAAGAGGTTTAATTGACTCACAGTTCCACAAGATTGGGTGGGGGAGGCTCAGAAACCTTCCAATTATGGTGGCCAACAAGTGAAGTGAGTGAGAGCAGGGGATACACCAGAAGCTTATGAAACCATCAGATCTCTTGAGAACTCACTCACTATCACAAGAACAGCATAAGAAAAACCCGTCCCCATAATCCAATCAACTCCCCTCAGGTTTCTCCCTTAACACCTGGAGGTTATAATACAAAATGAGGTTTGGGTGGGGACACACAGCTAAACCACATCAGTGCCAGAGGATGATATCTACATTTAATTTCAACCTCGTACTGCAGCAGAATGAAACTGAAGCCCAGTGGGGAAGTGACTTTCCCAAGATTACACTGCTGGACCCCAGGCCTACCTGAGTTGTGGCCCATGCTACCTCCCACCTATTCTCCTAATGCTTCCATCTCTAAGTGTGTGCATTATTTACATGTGAAACTACACCACGATTTTTACATTTTATCTTATATACATCTGATACATTCCCTAGGAAGTAGATAACATTATCCCCACTGTGCACGCTAGGAGGCTGGGGAAGCCTCAAATACACAGTGACTTTTATTAGGTCCCAGAGATGGTAAGAAAAACAAGGTTATTTTCCAGCTGTCTCTTATATCCTGGAACCCAGGATGCATTTAGGTCTTTCCAGGGAATTAAGGGGAAGTTGTGTTTGCATAATTGTGTACAAATAAAGAGTTGACATGGAAGAGGAGACTGAGCAATCAATAGCATAGTGGGGCCTTTGGGTAGGTCTTATAGAAAGAAGGGGCCCAGTAGATGGAACCTTGAAGAGTTTAACACACTTTCCTGGTGACAGAACCCCACAGCAGTTAAGAAACCAGGAACCCACATTCTTGAGACAGCTCTGTATCCACCTCTGTTGGTGAGAGATGCTCAAGAGAGTGAGATGTCCTTTCATTGTGCCTTGATATTTCTGAGTTCTAGCCTTACAAAGCCTCAATGTAAAAGCCTTCTCTGATAACACAGATATCAACTCAGCCCTCATTCCTGATACCCCTGGCCATTGGCCAAGTGCACCTACAGATAACACAGAGCAGCCCAGGACATGTCCATCGAGGCCAGGCCTCTCTCATCATCTCATCTGGGCAGCCCCACACCACTTCTTTGTACCATGAGTTGCAGGATGGACAAAAGAGAGGGCACACTTCTTGGGCAGAAGCCGATTGTCAGGTGTTGGAACTCTTGTGTGTCTGTTATGTTCATATTCAGGTCAGAGCTGGCAGAATAAAAATAAGAGAGTTGGGGAGTGAGTCTGTATACTCAGATGTGAATAGCAAGACTCCAACCTGATCTCTGGTTTCCTTCCTTGCTGGAGATTTATTTATTTATTTATACTTTAAGTTCTGGGATACATGTGCAGAATGTGCAGACTTGTTACATAGTTTTATATTTGCCATGGTGGTTTGCTGCATCTATCAAACTGTCAGCTAGGTTTTAAGCCCCACATATATTAGATATTTGTCCTAATGCTCTCCTTCACTTTGCCCCCTGACAAGCCCTGATGTGCGATGTTCCCCTCCCTGTGTCCATGTGTTTTCATTGTTCAAATTTCACTTATGAGTGAGAACATGTGGTGTTTGGTTTTCTGTTCCTGTTAGTTTGCTGAGAATGATGGCTTCCAGCTTCCTCCATATCCCTGCAATCTGAGGTCTCTGTTCTGTTCCATCGGTCTATATATCTGTTTTGGTACCAGTATGACTTCCTCTCTTCCTATTTGCATACCCTTTATTTCTTCCACTTGCCTGATTACCCTGGCCAGAACTTCCAATACTATCTCGAATAGGAGTGCTGAGGGAGGACATCCTTGTCTTGTGCTGGTTTTCAAAGGGAATGCTGCCGGCACTTGCCTATTAAGTAAGATATTGGCTAGGGGTTTGTCATAAACAGCTCTGATTATTTCGAGACTTTTTCCGTCAATACGTAGTTTATTTAGAGGTTTTAACATGAAGGGATATTAAATTTAATCAAAGGCCTTTTGTGCTTCTATTGAGAAAATCCTGTGGTTTCTGTCATTGGTTCTGTTTATGTGATGGATTACATTTATTAATTTGCATACGTTGAACCAGCCTTGAATCCCAGAGATGAAGCTGACGTGATCATGGTGGATAACATTTTCGATGTGCTGCTGGTTTCAGTTTGCCAGTATTTCATTGAGGATTTTTACATCGATGTTCATCAGGGATATTGGCCTGAAATTTTTGTTGCGGTTGTGTCTTTGCGAGGTTTTGGTATCAGAATGATGCTGACCTCATAAAATGAATTAGGGAGGAGTCCCTCCTTTTCAATTGTTTGGCATAGTTTAAGAAGAAATGTTACCAGCTGCTCTTTACGCTTCTGGTAAAATTCGGCTGTGAATCCATCTGGTTCTGAGCGTTTTTTTATTTGTAGGCTATTAATTACTGCCTCAATTTCAGAACTTGTTATTGGTCTATTCAGGGATTCAACTTCTTCCTGGCTTAGTCTTGGGAAAGTGTATGTGTCCAGAAATTTATCCATTTCTTCTATATTTTCTAGTTTATTTGTGTGGAGACGTCTATAGTATTCTCTCATGGTAGTTTTTATTTCTGTGGAATCAGTGGTGATATCCTGTTTATCATTTTTTAATGTGTCTATTTGATTCTTCTCTCTTTTCTTCTTTATTAATCTAGCTAGTGGTCCATCTGTTTTGTTAATCTTTTCAAAAAACCAGCTAGTGGAGTCATTGATTTTGAACAGTTTTTCTTGTCTCTATCTCCTTCAGTTCTGCTCTGATCTTAGTTGTTTCTTTCCTTCAGCTAGTTTTTGAATTTGTTTCCTCTTGATTCTCTAGTTGTTTTAATTGTGATGTTAGGGTGTCGATTTCAGATCATTCCAGCTTTCTGTTGTGGGCATTTAGTGCTAGCATATCCCCTCTTAAAACTGCTTTAGCTGTGTCCAAGAGATTCTGGTACATTGTCTCTTTGTTCTCATTTGTTTCAAAAACCTTAATTTCTCTCTTAATTTTGTCATTTACTCAGTAGTCGTTCAGGAGCAGGTTGTTCAATTTCCATGTATTTATGTGGTTTTGAGTGAGTTTCTTAATCCTGAGTTCTGATTTGATTGCACTGTGGTCTGAGAGACAGTTTGTTATGGTTGCCATTCTTTTCCATTTGTTGAGGAGTGTTTTGCTTCCAATTATGTGGTCAATTCTAGAATATGTGCTATGTGGCATGGAGAAGAATGTATATTCTGTTCGTCTGGCATGGAGAGTTCTGTAGTTGTCTATTAGGTCCGCTTAGTGCAGAGCTGATTTCAAATCCTGAATATCCTTGTTAATTTTCTGTCTCATTGATCTCTCTAATATTGGCAGTGGGGTGTTAAAACTTCCCAGTGTTATTGTGTGGGAGTCTACGTCTCTTTATAGGTCTCTAAGAACTTGTTTTATGAATCTCAGTGCTCCTCTGTTGGGTAGGTATATATATAGGATAGTTAGCTCTTCTTGTTGCATTGATCCCTTTACCTTTATGTAGTGCCCTTCTTTGTCTTTTTTCATCTTGGTTTAAAGTCTGTTTTACAAGAAACTAGGATTGAAACCTTGCTTTTTTTGTTGTTGTTGTTGCTTTTTTTGCTTTCCATTTGCCATTTCTCCTTCCCTTTATTTTAAGCCTATGTGTGTCTTTGCATGTGAGATGTGTCTCCTGAATATAGCACACCAAAGATTCTTGACTGTTTAACCAATTTGCCAGGCTCTGTCTCTTAATTGAGGTATTTAGCCCACTTATATTTATGGTTAATATTGTTATGTGTGAATTTGATCCTGTTATCATGATGCTAGCTGGTTATTTTGCACATTCGTTGATGTAGTTTTTTCATAGTATCGATTGGTCTTTATATTTTGGTGTGGTTTTGCAGTGGTGAACCATATTTTCCTTTCCATATTTAGTGTTTCCTTCAGGAGCTTTTGTAAGGCATGCCTGGTGGTGACATAATCCCTCAGCATTTGCTTGTCTGTGAAGGACTTTATTTCCCCTTTGCTTTTGAAGATTAGTTTGGCTGGATATGAAATTCTGAGTTGAAAATTATTTTATTTAAGAATGTTGAATATTGGCCCCCACTCTCTTCTGGCTTCTAGAGTTTCTGCAAAGAGATCTGCTGTTAGTCTGATGGGCCTCCATTTGTAGGTAACCTGACTTCTCTCTCTGTCTGCCCTTAACATTATTTCCTTCATTTCAACCTTGGAGAGTCTGGCGATTATGTGTCTTGGAGTTGCTCTTCTCGAGGAGTATCTTAGTGATGTTCTCTGTATTTCCTGAATTTGAATGTTGGCCTGTCTTGCTAGGTTGAGGAAGTTCTCCTGGATAATATCCTAAAGTTTGTTTTCTAGCTTGGATCCATTCTTCCCGTCACTTTGAGGTATACCAATCAATCGTAGGTTTGGTCTTTTCACATAGTCCCATATAACTTAAAGGCATTGTTTAGCTCCATCAGGCCATTTATGTTTCTCTCTAAGCTGGTTATTCTAGTTAGCAGTTCCCATAACCTTTTATCAAGATACTTAGCTTCTTTGCATTGTGTTAGAACATGCTTCTTTAGCTCAGAGGAGTTTATTATTACCCACCTTCTGAAGACTACTTCTGTCAATTCTTCAATCTCATTCTCCATCCAGTTTTGTGTCATTACTGGAGAGGTGTTGTGATCATTTGGAGGAGAAAAGGCATTCTTGTTTCTGGAATTTTTGGCATTTTTGTGCTGTTTTTTCCTCATCTTCATGGATTTATCTACTTTCAATCTTTGGGGCTGATGACATTTGGATGGGGTTTTTTTTGGGGGGGTCCTTTCTGTTGATGTTGATGTTGTTGCTTTCTGCTTGTTAGTTTTTCTTCTAACAGCAAGGTTCTTCTGCAGGTCCAGTGCAGTTTGCTGGAGTTCCAATCCAGACCCTGTTCACCTGGGTGTCACCAGTAAAGGCTGCAGAACAGCAAAGATTGCTGCCTTCTCCTTCTTCTGGAAACTTCATCCCAGGAGGATACCCGCCCAATGCCAACTGGAGCCCTTTTGTATGAGGTGTCTGTCAACCCCTGTTAGGAGGTTTCTCCCAGTCAGGAGTCACGGGGAACCCACTTGAGGAGACAGTCTGTCTCTTAGCAGAGCTGGTGCACTGTGCTGGCAGAATCCCTCTAGTCAAAATCAGCTGCTCTCTTCAGAGCCAGCAGGCAGGAATGATGAAATCCACTGAAGCTGCACCCACAGCCTCCCCTTCCCCCATGTGCTCTGTCCCAGGGAGATGGAGGTTTTCTGTGTAAGCCTCTGACTAGGGCTGTTACCTTTCCTTCAAATATGACCTGCCCAATGAGGAGGACTCTAAAGAAGCAGTCTGCCACAGCCACTTTGCTGCACCCAACCCGGACCTTCCAGCCTCCTTGGCACTGTCAGGGGAAAACTGTCTACTAAAGCCTCAGTAATGGTGGACTCCACTCCCTCCAACTGACCTCAATTGGCCCAGGTCAACTTCAGACTGCTGTGCTGGCAGCGAGAATTTCAGGATGAGGAACGCATTAGCTGTTTGTGATTTTCATGTCTGTTGCAGGGATTTGACCCATTGTTAGTGCTAGATTTGGAGTCTTAAAAAACAGATTTATCTTACTGAACTCAAAGTACAACTTGAAGATGTACTCAGCTGTTTACTTAAATTGCAGCAGGAGAAAATGTATCTTTGCAGATCTATTTTTATGTCACTTGCTTTTAGACACGAGATTGTCTCTGGCACAGTAATTCAACTTAGTCTATGTCAAAAACATAGCCTGAAAATGCTCAAAAAAAATTATGAATAGCGGATTGTATTCTATGTGTTTTCAAATTTCTTCTATGATGTAAAATATATAACATAATGTTTTACCTTGGATTTCTAACCTCAGCCCTCAGCCATTTTCCCAATTTTTTTTTTTTTTGTTTTGAGACGGAGTCTTGCTCTGTCTCTCAGGCTGGAGTGCAGTGGAGCTATCTCGGCTCACTGCAAGCTCCACCTCCCGTGTTCATGCCATTCTCCTGCCTCAGCCTCCCAAGTAGCTGGGACTACAGGCACCTGCCACCACGCCCGACTACTTTTTTGTATTTTTAGTAGAGACAGGGTTTCACCGTATTATCCAGGATGGTCTGGATCTCCTGACCTCATGATTCACCCATCTCAGCCTCCCAAAGTGCTGGGATTACAGGCATGAGCCACCTTGCCATGCCCCACTTTCCCAAACTATTAAAAGACCTTCCAAGGTGGGTCAAAAGCATTTTTCAGAGAAGATTATTCCTAACAGTAAAGGATAATAACAGATGGATAAAAATCTCAAATAAATTATGCCTCTATTTGCAGAAGCGTCACTCTCCAGAGTCTCCAAGATCCAGAGAATTTCCATGAGGTAGAGTAGTTTATGGACATTTAGCAAAGTTGGTCCTGACTGCTGTCTCAGCCTCTTAATAGATGTGCAGCTATAGACAATTTACTGGACTTAGAACAGTTATATAAACCTGGGCTGCAAGAAAACGCATAACACTGATTGCAAGAATGGCAACCACTTCTCATTCCTCTCTGATCTGGGCCCTCTGCAATGTACACTTGGGGCTGCTTCCATGGAGGGAAAGATTTTCTTTTCCCAAATCTTGGATCGGGCTGGCCTTATTTGCTCTGCCTCATTCATACTTTTTGTTCTAATAAAATAATTAAGATGTTTAGCGTCTCATCCCAGCCTTTATCTTGTTAAAACTATATCTTATAATATGTCATCTCTCTTTACTATATTTGGTTATATTCATTCTATTCAATACTCAGGTAATTTTTTATCTCTGTTTAATTTAGTGTTTCACCTATACCTTGTCCTAATTTTTTTATTCTTTACATTCTACCGAGCTGTGATTCAAATATGATATTTGAATATGGAAAATGGTGGCCTAGTTTTTCTTCAGAAATTTCTTTTTATTTACTTGTGTTCTTTAGTTTTTAACTTGGTTCCAATATTTGGGAAATATCACATTTGAGATGTCTGTAGTCATGTTATTTCTGTGCTTATTCCATTTTCCCTTGGAGGAAGGTGGACAGCATACAGACTTGACATCCTTATGATCTATCAGTATCTGAAGGGACCACTTTTTTTCAGTTTGATTACTTCTCTGGCTTATTCTCTTGATTTACTTTAGCTTTCATCAAGTGCTTCTATATTTTTAAACTGTATTCATTATTTTCATAGTTCTTGTAGCTTCTTGAGAACTTTTACTTGTCTACACTAAAATATTTAAAAATATGTAGCCTTTTCTTCTGAAAGCACAAATATGCAGTGTACACATGAGTAGAATATTTCATAGGCATTGGGCAGCATACAACCACATCTTATGAGATATTCCGTTTCTTCATTCAAAACATCTCTCTCAAATATGTAGTAATAGTCACTTGTAAGGGGTAGTTCTTTTGATACTTAAAATTTTCTTTTATGTGCCTTTATGAAAATATATACTTAACTACAGAGAACAGAACTCTGTGCTTCCTTTTAGTATGTCCTTGACCTCACAAAAATAATTCATGGAATCTTATATTTATGTTATAAATTAATTTAATGAAACAAAATTTGTGCATGGCTAAATATTACTTGTTGAGTACAATTTAGAATTTCTACTGTCATTTTAGTGTCCTAAAAGATATGAGCTGTTGAATTTCTGCTCTCATAAAATGAATGATATTGTTAGGCCTAAACCCTTGCCATTTATTTTCCCCCTCTGTCATACAGTGTGTATCTTTGGTTCACTGCTGAAAAATTTTATTAATTTTTCTCTCTTGCTAGTAGTCATACTTTCTAATAAAGTTATCATTACTTGTGTTTATTTAGTTACTGTATGTTAAACATTTGATTTCTGATGGTCTTAATGTCATTTAATATAATTGTAAATATTTCAATTTGTCATTATTAACAAATTTCTGTATTATATATTTTAGACTCAGTTATTAAGTATATGTGGGTAAATGACTTAGAATAATTTCTAAAACATTGTAGGGGCTACTAAGTACTAATAACCCTGATTCATTAAATTTTTATTCCTTATAATATTCTTTATTGACTAAATTATTTTGTAATCTTATTTAAATTTATTCTTTTCTTTTCTAAATATTTGTGAAAAAGGGGTTAGGCTAATGTGTCATTTTGATAAAACTTCATGTCAAATGATATGTTTCACTGGTTTCTTTTAGATGTAATAGCTTTTTTGACTCAGGCAATACATGCAAGTATGAAGTCTAAAAATTATAGTCTCAATCCTTAAGCTGAGGAAAAACTTGGCTATTTATTGATTTTAACAAAGCTACATTATCCCACATAATACGTAAAACTTTCACAAAGCTACATTATCCCACATAACAGGCATACCAGCTGTCTAGATCTGGAAACATGGATTGTTACAAATTAGAAGTAAATAACTTGATAGGCCCAATTTAACAAATGAAGCTCAAGAAGTGGGAGATATGAGACCTATAATGAAAGATTAAATTATTTTAAAAATCTTACCACAAAGAAAAATCAGAGTCAAATACTTTAACTGTTAAATTATACAAAATATTTCATAAAAATACCAATCCTTTACAAATACACACCATACATAGATAAGAGATAAACAACCCCTAACTACTTTATGAGGCCAATATTACTATACCGAAGCCAGACAAACCCATCATGTGTTAGGATTAATATGGGTACATATGGCTGATAAATAAAGACACATAATTCTCAAAAAGTACTAATAAGTTAAATACAGAAACACGTAAAAGTAATTATACACCATGGCCAAGTACAATCTTTTTACAAATGAAGTGGCTTAATATCTAAAAACCAATAATCTAATACACAACATTGATAAAGTGAAGAACATAAAATGATCCTTTTAATAGACACAGAAAAGCTTGTGATACAAACAACACTGATTCATTATAAAATCCTTAACATACTAGGAAGGAAAAACTTACTGGAACTACTAAAAAGGATTCATAAAAATTTCCCACTAATATTACACTTGCTGATGAAAGACTAGGCTCTTTGCCTCACAGTTGTGGGAAACAGATAAGCATGGCTACTTTCGCTACTCTACTAAATTGAACTAAAGGTGTTAGGCAGAGAAATTATATAATAAAAACAAATAAAACTTCTAAATTTATAAAATAAACTTTTATTGTAAATGGCATCAACTTATATTCAAGAATTTTTAAAGAGTTTACAAAAATCAACTGGAACTAATAAATGAGTTCAGCAGGTCACAATATACAAGATAAATGCACAATATTAAATTGCACTTTTATACAGTAACTAAGGGCAATCAGTAAATAAAATTAGAAAAAATAATTCTACTCATTAGCTCAATGTGTAGTGGCTTAAAATTCCAAATATGCATTATGTCTTATTTTCTGTTGGCTACAAATACTGACACAGCTTAGTTGAATGGGTCTACCACAATGTCCTCATGTGTCCGGAATTGGTCGGTTCTTGGTCTCACTGACTTCAAGAATGAAGCCGCGGACCCTCACGGTGAGTGTTACAGTTCTTAAAGGCAGCGTGCCTGGAGTTTTTCCCTTCTAATGTCAGCATGTGTTTGGAGTTTCTTTCTTCTGGTGGGTTCGTGGTCTTTCTGGCTCAGGAGTGAAGCTGCAGACCTTTGTGGTGAGTGTTACAGCTCATAAAGGCAGTGTGGACCCAAAGAGTGAGCAGCAGCAGGATTTATTGCAAAGAGCGAAAGAACAAAGCTTCCACAGTGTGGATGGGGACCCGAGAGGGTTGCCACTGCTGGCTCGGGCAGCTGCTTTTATTCTCTTATCTGGCCCCACCCACATCCTGCTGATTGGTCCATTTTACAGAGAGCCAATTGGTCTGTTTTACAGAGAGCTGATTGGTCCCTTTTCACAGGGTGCTGATTGATGCATTTACAATCCTTGAGCTAGACACAAAGTTCACCACGTCTCTACTAGATTAGCTAGATACAGAGTGTTGATTGGTGTATTTACAAACCCTGAGCTAGACACGGGGTGCTGATTTGTGTGTTTATAAACCTTGAGCTAGATACAAAGTGTCGACTGGTGTATTTACAATCCCTTATCTAGACATAAAGTTTCTCCAAGTCCCCACCAGACTCAGGAGCCCAGCTGGCTTCACCCAGTGGATCCCGCACCAGGGCCGCAGGTGGAGCTGCCTGCCTGCCAGTCACACGCTGTGCTCCCGAACTCCTCAGCCCTTGGGTTGTCGATGGGACTGGGTGCCATGGAACAGGGGGTGGAGCTCGTTGGGGAGGCTCGGGCCGCACAGGAGCCCTTGGCAGGAGTGGGGGAGAGGCTCAGGCAAGGCGGGCTGCAGTTCCCGAGCCCTGCCCCGTGGGGAGGCAGCTAAGGCCTGGCGAGAAGTCGAGCACAGCAGCTGCTGGCCCAGGTGCTGAGCCCCTCACTGCCTGTGGCTGGCGGGGCCAGCTGGCCGCTCCAAGTGCGGGGCCGCCAAGCCCACGCCCACCCGGAACTCGCGCTGGCCCGGAAGCACCGCGGGCAGCCGCGGTTCCTGCCCGCTCCCCGCAAGATAAGGGAGCCGGCTCCGGCATTGGCCTGCTGAGAAAGGGGCTCCCACAGTGCAGCGGTGAGCTGAAGGGCTCCTCAAGCGCGGCCAGAGTGGGCGCCAAGGCCGAGGAGGCACCAAGAGTGAGCGAGGGCTGTGAGGGCTGCCAGCATGCTGTCACCTCTCACTCATGAGACTGAAGCTGTGTCTCAACTGAAGCTTGACTGGGAAGGATGCACTTCTGAGCTCAATCTGGTTAGTTGTGCATTATTGTTTTGACTCAGTTCTTAGTTTCTTTGTGTCTTTGGTCAGGGCACTGTCTCCATTCTCTGTCACACAAGCCTGTAAAAATGAAAGCTTAAAACATTGAAGCTCGCTTCTCCAGAGCAAAGTATGCGACAGACAGAGAGAAAGACAGGAAAAAAGGAAGTAAACAATATCACAAGAGAGAGAAAGTAAGAAGCAAGTGACAATCTTTTCATAATCAAATATTGGCAGTGACATTCCCTATTTTCCAATGTATTCTACTGCCATGAAGTGAGTCACTAACCACTTACTGTTTACATTTGGGTGTGTATAGTTGGAAATAAAAATTATTATGAGCCATCATGAAGGCTGTGCACTACGTATGCCAAGGTGAGACAAATGGGCCTGATTCTAAATATAACGAGAAGGTACTACAATGTGTGTTGTTGTTATTGTTGTTGTTCTGGCCAAAGAATAACAACATCTAAATTTTATTCAATTTCAATGTTTTCATGATGGAGTTTGAAAAATAAATTCAAGAGGGGACATGACTTTCTCAACATTCAAGTTATAAAACCCAGGCATGTTTGAGAGATATTCAAGCAATGTCCCATCCCTTGTAGTTTCTTTCTCTAAGTTTATGCAGTAGCTGTGTTTAATATCAAACCCAACAGTCATGCGTATCATTTTATACATATCTCATGAGATCCCTTGCAGCTGGATGCCACCATAATCCCCACTGTGCAGGCTGTGAGACTGTGGAGCCCCTGAGAGGCACAATGACATACTTGGCATCACAGAATTAATACATTAAACATAAAGACTTTAACTCAGCTTGTATCCTCAAACTTGTGGCTCTGGCTGCATTCCATTTCCTCCGGCACTGGTGCAGGAGGTGCTGTATTTGCATAATTGTGCACAAGTAATCAGATGACTTGGGAGAGAATGGTGAGCAGTCAGCAGTGCAGAAAAGCCTTTGAGTAGGTCTTATTGAAGGAAGATAGGTCTTATTGAAAGAAGAATAATACCTTCAAGAAGTGACCTCATTTCTTTGGTGAAAGGTCCTAACAGTACTAAGTATTCTGGTAACCAAAAACTCACATTCTAAAGACAGTCCACCATACAGCACTGTTGGCCAGAATCTCTCAAGAGAGAAAGATGTTCTGCTGTATAACAACTTTCTGAGGCTCTTTCTTGTGAGGTTCTGTTCCTCACAAGTAGCACCTTCTAGCTATGTCTTCACACGACAGAAGGGGCATGAATATTCCTTTCAACCTCCGTCACACGGGCACTATTATTTTCTCGTTAACATGCAGCCCTCCTGACTTAATAACTTTCTCAAAGTTCTAATAACTAATAGTATCACACTGAATCCACGTGTGGATTAAGTTTTTAAATATGAATGTGGAGAGTGAGGAACACAAATATCCAGACCATAGCAAAAAGTTAATAAGCAATAACAATTGCAGTGGACAGTATTATTAATGCTTGGGATATGGGAATTTGATGTTTCTATCACAAAGGTTAAAAAATGGTTTATCCTTGGCCGGGCATGATGGCTCAAGCCTGTAATCCAAGCACTTTGGGATGTCAAGGCAGGCGGATCACAAGGTCAGGAGATCGAGACCATCCTGGCTAATACGGTGAAACCCCGTCTCTACTAAAAGTCCAAAAACATTGCTGGGTGTGGTGGCGGGCGCCTGTAGTCCCCGCTACTAGGGAAGCTGAGGCAGGAAAAAGGTGTGAACCCAGGAGGTGGAGCTTTCAGTGAGCTGAGATCACACCAGTGCACTCCAGCCTCGGAGACACAGCAAGACTCCATCAAAAAAATAAAATTAAATTAAAACATATAACAAAATTAAGGTCCAATTAAAGGTAAATATATATAGCAAAAAAAAAATTCAAGCTCTGATAAGGTTAATTGTAACAGATTGTGCCAGAATTTTGAGATTTCTGGGGATGGACAGAGCCCAAGAGTTTCCTTCTATAACAATTTCTGTGAAGTTTCTTACACTCTTATTCAATTTGAACGTGGATAAATGGGTTTTCTCTGTTTTGTTATTTAAGAGATTCATGATAAGGAAGGCCTATTTATGCATGATTCTTAAACAATTATTGAGTCAGTGGTGTCTGCTGAGGAAGGGCACAGAATCTCATGCCCACAGAAGCATGATGTTCTGTCAGATAGGAGACTTCTCCCAGAGCCAGAACTTCATCTTTCAAATGGAATTAGAGATTTTCACAGGCATACATTGCTCTGAAGCCCTATCAGAGGCTTAGCACTGAGAATATGACCAAATAAGGTGACTAATAAACATATGACCTAGTACTCTGATCTACAGTGATTCTACCCTCTCAAATAGCTCTTCCCTGGCTCTGGAATCTTTTCTGGATTCATCTACCAGAAACAGATACACTGAAAGATTGAGAAGAAGCTTTTATTCTCACTGTGAGTCTTGCCCTGTCTCACCATCTTCTCTAGAAGTGCAATGTTCTAACTATTCCTGAGAGACTTCATCTCAGGTAGCTCTCTCTGACAACATAATTGAGAAGAGAAACGAGCAAGACTCAGATTATCTTGAAGGCTTGTCTAGGGTTCTTACATGATTTATGTCTCCAATTTATGTCAATATTGACAAATATAGATTCATCTCTAGATGGTAGAAAAACAGAAGGAGGAGCCTCTGCTCACAGAGAAAATAAAAGATGAATTCAATGTTTTGTAGAGCCAGCTTATTTTAAACCATGGGGCATTTAATCTTTTTAGAAAAAAACAAAAGCAATAGGGTTTTTTGTTTTTGTTTTTGCTTTTGCTTTTGTGTTTTGGTTTTGGTTTTTTTTCTTTTGTTTTTTCCCTGAAGCAACTCAACTGTGGCCTCAGACAACTGGGCACTGAGAACGCATGCTCCTCACTAGAATTTCATTACTACATTGCAGAGAAATGGGATAATTACAAAGGATTTTTTTTTTTTTTTTTGAGATGGAGTCTTCCTCTGTCATCCAAGATGGAGTGCAGTGGCATCATCTCAGCTCACAGCAACCTTGGTCTCTCAGGTTGAAGCAATTCTCCTGCCTCAGCCTCCCAAATAGCTGGGACTACAGGCATGTGCCACCTTGCCTGGCTAATTTTTATATTTTTAGTACAGACTGGGTTCCACCATGTTGGCCAGATGGTCTCGATTTCCTGACCTCGTTATCCACCCTCCTTGGTCACCTAAAGTGCTGGGTGTGAGCTGCTGTGCCCAGCCCAAAGGATTCTTAAGGGTGATATGGGGGATGGAATGGAAAAAATAAACTTAGTCTTTGCACTTCCACCTGGTCTAACTAACCCTACTCTCATCCTATCCCAAAATTATTGCCAGACTTTTCTGGAGTGTGCCAGGGGCAATTCAGAAGGAAAAGAGGCTATTCATGCCTATCCATTTCCCATAGCTCCTGAGATCTAAGTCGTTCACTCCCCTGGTTTCAGGTTGTTGCTCCCCTTCTATATCTTCAGAATTAATGTGATCCATTCCAATACTTATAATTGTACCTTTATCTGATCCCCTCCTATTTTGCTGTAGACATTTTATGTAGTAGATCCAGTTGTAATAGAGACAAGAATGTTTATATACACCATAATCAGAACTAAATTGGAGTTCCATAACCCCTTTTTTGACTGGGCTGCTACTCAGAAATCATACAAACCAGGCTGCCTGGAGGTTGCAGTTAGGAGAAATCACATCTTGCCCAGGAATGTCAGTGTGGAACCTCAAATTTGGAAAATAGATTCCTATAGCCCCAATCATTTTGCAACACTTCTGCAGAGTTAAAAGAAAGCCAGTATCTAACAGAAAATCTTGAGCTTGCAGAATAACAGAAAAGAAAAAAAAACCAAAAACACAACTTACCAAAACACTGAAACTCCCTCTACTTATGAAATAAACAAACTGGCTTAAATTGGTGGAATCATTATGGCCAAATGGTGTTTTGGCAGAATCACCTTGCTGAGGTCACCGTCTGAATTTTCACTGCCTGTTTCATCACAACTCCCCTTCAGTTTGCCCATGAGATCCATGAGGAGGCAATGAGCTTGAGAGTAACGTTTCAGTATAAAATTGCTTTCTCTTAAAAACCTGATGTCATAGTATTGGCTTCTAGCACTTCAAGAAGTGAGCTCCTTTTACTCAATAACAATGTTATCTATATCTTAGAGACAGTCAACAGGAGATAATCTCTTCTGGGACCAAAGAAGGTGACTAATAAACCATTTAATCAACACATTACCTAACCAAAAGCTGTGGACCCTGATGAGGAAAATAAGTTAAAATGAGACTATTGGCTCATTTTAATAGATATGGTGATAAAAGCAAAAAAAAAAAAAAAAAAAGAGAGAATTTAAGCGGTCTCAAATACCTAAAAGATGACATAGATTAGCTTCAAGTAACACATAATGTGGCTGGAGTCAGCTGATCTTTATGCTGAAAGTGTCAACAGTAGTGACAAATACTTCAAGTAACGGGTCAAAAGTCTAAGACAGTCATTCTGCCAGAAATGGTCTGGGACTTCCCCATACATGGGACACGTAGATCAACTTTCTCCAAGAACCACCAACCTGGCATGCAGTGATGACCTCTGCAGTAGACAGGGATTTAGGCTTGATTGTTGTTCATCTCTTTGGAGACATAACCCTAATTGTGAACTTCTAAATTAATGGCCTGACAATTAGATCAGCAGCTAAGATAAATTTCAGTTTGCAGTCCCAAAGAAGATGTTCTTAATTAGACAGTTAATCATTTTGAATATGGAAGCCTAAACACGTAGAATGTGGCAATAACCCAGAACTCTCAGTTCTGACAATTGAGTGAAGTAATCACCCCAGATTCAGGTTCTTCATTGGCTGACAATGAGATAAAACACCCACACCAGCCCAGTGAACACCATGAGGTGTCATCTTCCCTGGCCCATTAGTGAACCAGGAACAGATATTTAGAAAATATTCAGTAAATTGGGGAGTCCCACAGAGTCAGAAATTTTGCTTGAGATAGTGGAGGGTGGCATAAAATTTCTACCGAATATGAATTTTAATTTTTACTTTAGTGCCGTTTCTATTTTAGTCTAATTTCCTTCTAGAATATGTTATTTCTATTTACCAAGTGGCCTCCTGTGGTCTTTTTCATAGAGTTCAAATCGACCCATCTAAAAACAGAAAGATCAAGCTAACGACCTCCCTCAGGGGTCAGAATTCAGTTTCACAGCTCTGTAGCAAGCTCATTGTTGACTTACAAATTAGTGTAACCAATAGTAATGTCATGGTGGCCATAACTCCAACATCCCAAAAAGTACCTCAAGGTAGAGGCTGACTTCATTTATCAGAGGATTCAAATGGCAAAATCAAGCTTTACTAGATCACTGGATTACTGGAAGAAGTGAGCAATGCGAATCTGCAATATAGTTTCACTAAACTTTAATAGGACAGCAAGACTGTAGATATTTTAGCCCTCTCAAAATATGAATCTTCTGATCCTTTCATCTAGAATCTCTATGTGTGCCATAAAGTCCTAACTCTGCTTGTGCCTATACTTTCTGTTCATGCAGAGATTAAAAGACAAACAGGTGGGAGCTTAGTGTTTTAGCGTTTTTCCTGAGAATCTGTCTAGCCTAGAGCATCCCCATTTTTTTCTAGATTCCAAGGAGTACTATCACTATCCTAATTCTCAGTGTCTTGTTTCCAAGTATTTCCTCCTACGATTGTCAGCGTGACTACCTTTTTACCCCACTGATAGTGTTTGCTCCAGGTGAACTGGGTAGTTCATTTTTATTTAAATGCTTCCATAAGCATTAAGCTATTAATTTAAGATTTCTTTGTTTTTTATAAAGTAATTCTGCTGTTTCCCTCAGAGCTCAACTTTCACTAAGTCTCATAAATTTTATTATGTTTTGTCTAAATGTCTATTTATGTTAAAATATTCTCTGACACTATTTGTACATTTTTTATTCATTAATTATTTAAGATTGTGTCATTTAATGCACACATGTTTGCATTTCCCAAATTTCTTGCTTTTTTGGTCTCTAATTTTCTCTTTTGTGATTAGAAAACATTCATTTTATTATTTCAATCTTTCAATTTTATTGATTTTTTTTATGATGCAGCATATTCTCCATTCTAGAGAATGTTCTATGTGCATTTGGGAAGAATATACATTCTGATTTGGGGTGAAGAGTTCTCCATATATCTCTAGTTTTATTTGGTTTATGTTATTCATGTCTTCTATTTCCTTGTTTCTCTTATGTCTAGTTCTTCTACCCAATAGTGTAAGTGGGGAAGTGCAGCTTGCAATTTTTATTGTTGAAACTATTGTTGCAACTATTTCTGCCTTTATTTCTATCAGTTTTGCTTTATGTACTTCTGTGAACTTTTGTTACATTCATATATGTTAATTTATTTTCCTCATGAATTTATCCTTCTAATTATAATCTATCTTCATCTCTAGTAATAGTATTTGTTGTCTTAAGGTATATCCTAATTTTTTGATTTTTGGTTTTTCTGGGTGCATAGTAGGTGTATACCTTTATGAAGTATATAGAATATTTTGATACCGTCATACAATGTGTAATAATTACATCAGAGTTAATGGGGTATTCATCACATGAAGTATTACTATTGGATTTCAAATAACCAAATTATACAATTTCTGTTATTTTAAAATGTACACTTAAATTATTCTTAACTAGAGTCACCTCGTGCCGTCAAATGCTAGAACTGATTCATTCTTTCTAACTATATTTTTATACCCATTAACCATTCCCACCTCCCCACCCTCAACCTTCTACTACTTCTCTCAGCCTCTGGAGACCATCATTCTACTCTTTATCTCCATTAATTCTTTTGTTTTAATTTTTAGCTTTAACAAATAAGTGAGAACGTGTGAAGTTTGTCTTTCTATACCTGTCTTATTTCACTTAATAAAATGACCTTCAGTTTAACCCATGTTGTTACAAATGACAGAATCTCATTCATTTTTATGTCTGAATAGTACTACATTGTGTATATGTACCACTTTTTTGTTTATTCATCTGTCGATAAACACCTATGTTACTTCCAAATCTTGGCTATTGTGAATAGTGTTGCAATAAACACAGGAGTACAGCTATCACTTTGATACACAGATTTTTCTCTCTTTTGGATATATACCTAACAGTGAAATTGCTGGATTGTACAGAAGCTCTATTTTTAGTTTTCTGATGAACCTTCAAGCTGTTCTCCATAGTGGTTCCACCAACTTACATTCCCACCAACAGCATATGAGGGTTCCCTTTTCTCCGCATGCTTGTCAGCATTTGTTATTGCCTTTTAGCTAAAACCCACTTTAACTGGGGTGCGGTAATAGCTCATTGTAATTTTGATTTGCATTTCTCTGATGATTCATGATGTTGATCATCTTTTCATATACCTATTTGCCATTTGCGTGTCTTTATTGGAGTAATGTCTGTTTACATATTTTGCCTATTTTTTAAAATAGGATTATTAGATTTTATTTTCTATAGAGTTATTTGAGCGCCTTCTATGTTTTGGTTACAAATCCATTTTCAGATAGGTAGTTTGAAAATATTTTCTTTCATTCTGTGGGTTGTTTTCTCACTTTGTTGATTCTTTTCTGTGCCATGCAAAATTTTATAACTTGGTGTGATACCAATTTTCCATTTTGCTTTGGTTGCCTGTGCTTGTGAGGTGTTACTCAAGAAATCTTTGCTTAATCCAAGGTTTTTTAGAATTTCCCCAATGTTTTCTTTCAGAAGTTTTATAGTTTGCAGTTTTACATTTAAATATTTAATCCATTTTGATTTAGTTTTTGCACGTGGCAAAAGATAGAGGTCTAGTTTTATTCCTCTGCATATGGATATCCAGATTTACCATCACTGTTTATTGAAGAGACTGAGTTTTTATTCTTAATATATTTTCTTGGTGCCTATGTAAAAAATGAGTTCACTGTAGATGGATGGTTTGGTTCTGGGTTCTCTATTCTGCTCCATTTTCCTGTGTGTCTGTTTTTATGCCAGTACTATGCTGTTTTGGTTACTACACATCGGTAGTATAATTTTGTGTAATGTAATAATGTATGCTATGTAATGGGATTCCTCCAGTTTTATTCTTTTTGCTCAGGATAGCTTTAGCTATTCTAGGTCTTTTGTGATTATATATAAATTTAAGATTTTTTAGAGCTGTTGTATTTATTTGTGTGAGGAATGTCAATGGTATTTTTACAGAAATTGCGTTGAATCTGTAGCTTGCTTTGTGTAGCATGGACATTTTAATATTGATTCTTCCAATCCATAAACACAGAACACTGACTAATACAATCTGCAAATGGGTAGTTTGACTTCCTCTCCTCTTATTTGAATGCCTTTATTTTTTTCTCTTGTCTGATTGCTCTGGCCAGGATTTTCAACACTATGTTGAACAGGGCTGGTAAGAGAGGGCATCTTTGTCTTGTGCCAGTTTCCAAGAAAAATGCTTCCAGTTTCACCCATTCAGTATAATGTTGGCTGTGGGTTTGTCATAGATGACTTTTATTATTTCAAAGCATGTTTCCTCAATACCTAGTATATGGAGAGTTTTAACATAAAGTGGTTTTGAATTTTAATAAAAGCTCTTTCTGCATCTATTACAATAATCATGAGGTTTTTGTCTTTAGTTCTGTTTGTATTATGAATCACATTTATTGATTTGCATATGTTGAACCAACCTTGCATCCCAGGGAAAAAGCCTACTTGATTGTGGTGGATAGGCTTTTTGGTATGCTGCTGGATTTGGTTTGCCAGTATTTTATGGAGAATTTTTGCATCAATATTCATCAAAGATATGAAATTTTTCTTTCTTTTGCTTTTCTTCCAGGTTTTGATATCAGAAGGGTGCTGGCCTCATAGGATGAGTGAGGAAGAAGATGATCCTCCTCAAATTTTTGGGAGTTTCAGTAGGAATGATACCAAATTCTTCTTTGCATATCCAGTAGAATTTGGCTGGGAATTCATCTTTTCCTTGGCTTTTTAAAATTGATAGTCTATTTATTACAGATTCAATTTTGGAGCATGTTATTGGTCTGTTCAGGGATTCAATTTCTTCCTGGTTCAGTCTTGGAAAGGTGTACATGTCCAGGAATTTATCTATTTGTTCTAGGTGTTGTAGTTTTTTTGCATAAAGGTGTTCATCATATTCTCTGATGTTTATTTCTATTTCTGAGGAGCCAGTGGTAATATCCCCTTTGTTGTTTCTGATTGTCTTTATTTGGATCTTCTCTCTTTTCCTCTATATTAGTCTAGCTAGTAGTCCACATTTAAAACAAAACCTACTCCTGGATTCATTAATCTTTTAGTTTTTTTGTGTGTGTCCTAATCTCAGTTTATCTCTGATTTTGGTTATTTCTGTCTTCTTCCAGCTTTGGGGTTGGATAGCTCTTCATTCTCTAGATGTTTTAGTTGTGATATTGAGTGGTTAAATTGAGATCTTTGTTACTTTTTGTGGTGGGTGTTCAGCAACATCAGTTTTTTTCTCAACACTGATTTAGTTGCATCTCAGGGATTCTGGTAGGTTGTGTCTTTGTTCTCATTAGTTTCAAATAACTTTTTGATTGATGTCTTAATTTCATTATTCACACAAAAGTCATTCAGGAGTGAGTTATTTAATTTTTATGTAATCATATGGTATTGAGTATTGGTTTTCTCAACTTTTACCTCCAATTTTACTATACTCTGGTCTCAGAGAGTGGTTGTCATAATTTGAATTCTTTTATAATTTCTGAGAACAGTTTTATGTCGATTAAGTGGTTGATTTTAGAGTATGTGCCATGTGGCAATGAGAACGTATATGTTGTTGTTTTTGGTGGAGAGTTCTGAAAGTGTCTGTTACATCCATTTGATCCAGTGCTGCATTCAGATCTTGAATATCTTGTTAATTTTCTGCCTTAATAATCTAATATTGTAAATGGGTTGTTGAAGTTTTTCACTATAATTGTGTAGGAATCTCAGTCTTTTTAAAGACCTCTAAGAACTTGCTTTATGAATTTGGGTGTTCCTGTGTTGGGTGTGTATATATTTAAAATGTATATATTTAAATTTGAATACATATATTCTTGTTGAATTTAACCCTTTAGCATTTTGTAATGCCTTTTTGCCTTTTTAAATCTTTGTTGTTTTAAAGTCTGTTTGTCTAAAATTAGGGTTGCAACCCATTCTTTCTTCTGTTTTCCATTTGCTTGGTAGATTTTTTATCCCGTCATTTTCAGCCTATGAAACTGATTGCATGTGAAATGAGTCTTGATGACAGCATATCATTGGTTCTTTGTTCTTTATCCAGTTTCCCACTGTTTGCCTTTTAATTGGAACATTCAGCCCATTTACATTCATAGTTAGTGTTGATATGTGTGCATTTGATGCTGCCATTATAATGGTAGCTGCTTATTATGCAGACTTGTTTGTGCGTAACTGGTCTGTATACCTCAGTGTGTTTTTTTAGTGGCTAATAAAGGTTTTTTTCACCTATATTTAGTTCTTCCTTCAGGAGCTCTTGTAAGGCATGTCTTGTAGTAATGAATTTCCTCAGCATTTGCCTGTTTAAAAAGAACTTTATTTCTCCTTTACTTATGAAGCTTAGTTTGGCCAAATACGAGATTGTTGATTGGAATTTATTTTCTTCAAGGAGGTTAAATATTGGTATTGGTCTCTTCTGGCTTGTAGGATTTCTGCTAAAAGGCGTACTTTTACACTGATAATCTTTCCTTTGTGGTTGACCTCCCTTTCCTCTCTAGCTGCATTTGTCATTTTTTCTTTTATTTCATGCTTGAACAATCTGATAACTATGTGTTTTGGTGATTATTATATTATGAAGTATCTTACTGGAGTTTTCTGCATTTCCTAAATTTGAATGCTGGCCTCTCTAGCCAGCATTCCCCAGGTTGGGGAAGTTCTCATGAATGATATCCTAAAATATGTTTTTCAAATGGCTTCCATTCTCCTCACCTGTTTCATGAACACCAGTGGGTCATACCTTTGGTCTCTTTACATAATCTTATATTTTTCAGAGGCTTGGGGGTTTTTATTACTCTTTTTTATTTCTGTCTGTATGTCTGACTTCACATAAACAGTCTTCAAACTCTGAGATTCTTTCTTAGCTTTGTCTATTCTACTATTAATAGTTGTGAATTTCTTATAAAAAAATTTAGTGTGATTTTTTTAGCTCTCTCAGGTTAGTTATGCTCTTAATACTGGCTCTTTTGTCTCTCAGCTCCTGTATCATTTCATTATGATTCTTAACGTTTTTGAATTGAGTTTCAAGTTACTTCTGCATTTTAATGATCTTTATTTCTATTCATATTCTGAATTTGATTTCTGTAATTTTAGCTATCTTGGACTGATTTATAACCTTACTGGAGAGGTAGTGTGGCCATTTGAAGGAAAAGAGGAACTCAGGTTTTTTGAGTTGTCAGAGGTTTTGTGCTTGTTCTTTCTTATCTTTCTGGGGTGATATTTCTTTAATATTTGAAGTTGTCAACTTTTGGATTTTTCCTTTTATTCTGCTTGATGACCTTAAGGGTTTAATTGTGTTATAAGGTTGGCTCAGTCGAGTGGTTTTGTGTGTATTCATGCAGGCGAAGGTGGCTGCTCAGGGCTGAGGAGAGTATGCTGTTTTTTGTGCTTAGTTGTACTCAAATGACAGTGTTGACAAAGGAGCAGGGTGCTGGTGTTGTGGGGCTGATGGCCTCTGTTTCCTCCAAGATTCTGTCTGCAGTGGTGGTATAGCAGGAGAGGGGGCCTGGAGTACACTCCTACCAACAGCAGTGCCAGGGCAGAATGCATATGCACATGTGCACTGACAGGGCAGGGAAAGCAAGATCCTTCCATGCACACACACACACACACACACACACACACACACACCAGCATAGTGATGTGTGGGGAGGCAATGGGCCTTGGGGGGAAGCTGCAGTGAGGAGAGGCAGCAGGCAGGCTGATGCCTGGATGGGGCCACCCCACTGGAGCTGTCTACTAGTCAGACATGATCTGCCAGTTCAGGATCTATGATGCAGGCCCCCAGGGTACTCAAGGCTGCACTGCAAGCATGCAGGGCCGAATTGGGGTCGCAGGAGAGGCCAGCACACCAACGCAAGCTCAGGTCAAAACAGCCCCATCTGATGCGCCACCACCCTGCAGACTTTTTGTCCAAAATTTCCCCTAGGGCTAACGTCTCTTGTGGGAGCAAGTTAAGCTTATTGGTGTGGGCATCCCTGGACATGCTTCACTACACATGTTCCCACAATAAACCCTCTTGGCTGTGCACTGGCTGGTGTGCTGCCCCTGTCACTTCTCTAAGCAGCTCTTCCTTTCAACTCATTTTCCATGATGGTCAGAGGGTCTCTGCCGGTGGGATTCCAGAGGCCAGTCAGGAAAGCAGGTAGCTCCTTGCCACTTAAACTCACCTGTTTTTCTCAGAGTCACTGGGGGCCAGAAATCAGTTCCACTGTGCTTTAGCCCTGTGCAGGGTTCCCAGCTTCTGAATCTTAAGTTCAGATGTTGTGTCTTTCCTCCTTCCACTATCAGTACCTGCCCTCGGTTAAGAGTGTGCCAGTCATCCTGGTCCCTTGGTGTCAGCTGTTCCACCTTGGTTTGTCTATTCAGCCATCTTGCTCAAATACACAAAGTCTTATAAATCAATAATAAATAGACAATTGACTACTTGAAAAATGTGCAAGGAATTTGAATTAAAAATTTCTACAGATAAGAAGCAAAATTTGTCATTAAATTTAAAATATGTGACATTATTAGTTTAGAGAAATGCAAATCAAAAGCTCAATGACGTACTTACTAGAAGACCTGTAAAAGGCAATAAAAAAGGTTGCCAAAGATATCAAAAATATGAAAGCCTCACACATTGTATGTGGGAGTGTAAAAAACAACCGATTTAAAGAACAATTTGGCAATTATTCAAAATGCTATAAATAGTATCACCATATGACTGAGACATTTTACTCTGTTACGTACTCAAAAGAAATGAAAACCTATGACTACACAAAGAATCAGATGTAAATGATCAAAGCAGCAGTATTTGTAATAGCCCAAAGGGGATAAAACCAAAATATCCATCAAATAATAACAGAAAAAATAACGTGTGGTGTGTCCATACAATAAAATACTATGTGCCAAACAAAGAAAATGAAGTAATAATACCTGCTATGTCAAGAAAAAACCTCAAAATCACTAAAGTAAGTAAAATAAACCAAATGCAAAAGGGCAGATAATTTATGATTTCACTTAAAATAACTTTTAATAAAAGGCTTATATATAAAAACAGGCTGATTGCCTATGACCAGGGTAATGAAATCAGTAAGTACAAAAGAGATTAATTTCTTTTTCCATAGTGATAAGGTTATTTCAAAATTAGATTGTGGTTATGGGTGTCTGTAAATACACTTTAAAAACTTGGAATTGTACACTTAAAACATGTGATGGTTTTGTTATAAAATTATATCCCTCTAAAATGTTTCCAAATGAAACTGTTGACTTTTGGAGAACTAAGTCACAGACTGTAAAACCAAACCCATTTATTGTTCATCTCAAGGCATGTTAAATAAAGAGGAAAAGACAAAGATATAGTTATAACATTAAAATCTTCATGGCAAATAGTTATAAGAAAAAAATTACAATTGTAAAATGTATTAATAGACATAAATTACCTGCTTAGATTTACCAGGCCAGAAATGTAAATTAAATAATAGTACACTATTGAAGACCACTCTGAGTCACTGATTATTAGAAACTTGTTATGATGTCATCATAGGGTTAAAATATTCCTTATCAAAAATGACTCACAGCAAAAATGTTAAATAAAGTGTGTTAGTGGCACCCCTGTCCACAGTTGCTGGTACTTTTAGTGTATGGCCAATTAGAAAGCTGCTCTTTTGTCCCTCATTTGTAACCAATTTCAACACTCAAATTCAATATTGAACTCCTAAATATATTGATAAAACATGTGAGAAGATGTTTGACTTGTTTTATTGTAAAACAAGGCTAATATACAGTATGTGAAAGTTTCCATAAAATTCTTAAATTATATATTTAAAAGATATTATGAAAATAAAAAATCTTAGCAAACATAGGGAGAATTATAAACTAACATTTATCATACATACCCACCACAAGGCTTCAGCAATTCTCATATTTTTTATCTTTCATTTTTAATTATCAACTTCAATTATTCTGGTAATATTTTCAAGTAAGCATATTATGTTGTCAGTTTGTAGAAATTTGAGTACCTATATCTAAGAAATAAAGAGAAAAATAAAAATAGTACTATAAAATCTAAGTAAATACAAGTATTCTCTAATATTGTACTAAAGAGTTTCTTGATTTTTTACGTGCAAAACAGTAGAACTTAGCAACCTCCAAGACTTTATGAGAAATAACAATTTAAGACTAATATTTATCCTGGAGACTCAAAGTGACTATAAATAAATATATCTTTAGTTAATAAAGCTTAAAAATAAAGTATTAGTAAAAACACATTTTGAAGATGGCTGACACCTTTGTTACTAGACATGGGGCTTGTGCTGTAAATAACTAGTTTAAAAGTCAATGGAAAAGGGATTTTCAACCAAAAAGTCTATAGAAAACAAAAAATTTTGGTTTTTCTGAACTCAGGATGTGAGGCCAGCTTTTAAAGCACTGAATTTAAAAAGCCCTCAAGACCCTAAGCTTGATAAACAAGTCACCAGCAGGTCTCATTTTTCAGCTCTGTGCACCAGGTGGCATGTCTAGCAAAATGTCCCCTCTCATGTCAGGTTTTTTCTATGAACTCAGAATGACCACTGTCCCTTAGTATGCAGCCCTGCAGTGGACCCAAAAATGACAATCAATCAGGTCCAGAGTTGCTCATTATGGCCTTTCCAGAATGTAATTATCTAAGGACAATTCTCCCCCTTGTAAAATTAAGAAAGTATCAGAATATTTGCCTAATTTTTGATAACATCATACTGTGAGCCACAAAAAAGCAAGAATTTAAAATGTAAGAGATTATCTGGATCCTAGGGCACAGAAATACACCTCAAATAGAATAGTTTCACACACGATTTTATATGTGGACTTCCTGTGTGGAAGAAAAGAATGTGGGGGTCAATAGTAGAGAAGTCTGTATGTAGTGGAATTTTAAGAAATCAGAGAGGCCGATGGGGTTCAGGAGGGTATTTATTAATTATTTAGGTGCACTGGTCCAGTCGGATTAACATCCAAAGAATGAGTCCTGAACAAAGAGTTAAGTTACCTTTTAAGCATTTCATGGGTGGGGAGAGATTTGTGCAGGGAGAATCATACTACAGAAGCAAGAAACAAAGACAATTATTCAATTGAGACATGCATTACATTATTTCTTACTTTTCAAGGAAAAACCTGTTTTGTGACTTGAATTTATCTGTCTAGTGACCTTGCAGCTTCACAGCTTGGGAAACAGGGTCTTCACAATCCCTGGGAAAGGAGGAGAGATAAGGATCACTAGCCACAGAAAAACAGGCAGTTAGTTTTTAAAGGACTCCAGCTCTTACTCTTTCTCAACAGAAGTTGGGTTTTCTTACACACAAGTGAGTTTCTGCTTACACACTCTTTAATCTCTTATAATTCCTGTTCCATTCTCCCCATTGGTGCTTTTTATAACAGAGGTGTTAATAGAAAGCACCATTATTTGCCAAGTCTTCATGGAGCTGAGCTTTTTCTTCTTCTGGCGGTGGCTGATATCTGGTTAATGCATCAACTGTACAGTAGTGTTTTGGGCTACCATTGCCTCCATAGTTGACTGAATACTCCTAATAAACAGAGACAAAAGGCAAGGGAGGATAAGGCAGATGCAAAGAATAAGCAAGAACCTACTAATGAGGGTTTAGAATTTTTCAAATGCTGAGAACCATCCTCCAAACAAGGAATCCGGGGACTACCTGGATCAAGTCTGAAGTGGAACCTGGGCCAACTTGTGCATTCTAGCTGTAATTTTTATGACCACTAATATTGATTTCTTGGCTATTGATTTCTAGGCAACAGATGGTTAAATTAAATTTTCTACATATTCCTCCTTCTGAGGATAAGAGAGAATTTAAAGCCAGCCTATTTTGATATATAGCATTTCCTTTTTGTGTTGCTTGTATTACCAATAAATCTAGTGCCCTCGATATTTCATTGGTTATGATTTGAAGGACTGCCTGCAACTTCATGATGCGGCTGAGGATATAGATTATGGTGCAGTACCCTCATGACCTGTCTTGCACCTAGGTAGCTGGCCCATAGCATGTCATGATTCTTTCAGGAGGTCATTTATTATCTTTTTAGTCTCCTGTGTCCACATCTTTTTTGATATTTTTGTTACTTTTGTGATTATGCTTTTTCTAGTTCTTCTTTTATTTTTATTATAAACTGGATATTCTAAGAATTTCCCTTGCTTTAGAGGAATTAGAAAGAAGGATGGCTTGATTGCTTTTAACAGACACGCCCCTGCCCATTTTGCTGGCAGTTGCCAATATGTCCATGCTCCACAGATCCAATATAGGCCAGAGGGTGCCTTTCAAGCATTTGAATCATCTACCTGATGCCAAGTGCAGCTTAGAGTAAGGAATCCAGAGAAAGTGTTTGGATCTGGTAAGTAGGAGTCATTCTGGGCATTTCTTCATAGAGTTTTGTTTTTAGTCTCGTAATAATACTGTTGCCCTAGGCAGGTTGTTTTTCCTACTGCCTCTGTGAAAGCCTTTCCCCATCGAGTGATACAGTACTTTCCAGTTATGGAGATTTTTAACAATCAAACACTGGCTGAGGCTGTTGGTTCACTGGCAGGGTTAAGCAAAGTGAAGTTATCTTGTGGCATTAATTCCTTTGCCTCCCATTGCCACTCATTCTCCATATTAGTTTCTCTACATACATAGCATGAAGAAATTTTTAAGCTGCCATCTGTGTTTTCAGCTAGTTGAGCAAATAAGTTTTTGGTTGATGGGGGAACCTCGGGCACTGGCTGATCAAAATGCTTACAGAATGACTTGGTATTGAGGGGTTGGATGCATTTGAGTCCTTATAGTATTTTTGACAATTAGTAGTGGAACTCCAAGACCTGCTTCTTGTCTATCAACTCGTAATAGTGCTGTCTGTCCTGTAGACCAAAAAGGTAGCTCTGGCTTTAAGATAGTAAAATTTAAAGGATCGCATGTCCTTGTCTTACAATCTGGTTTTTAGGATTATGAACATACGTGGCATGGCAGTCATCAAAGAAGAAATAGGCCCTTTTTAGAAGGGTGGGATTTCTTTGGTTTGAGCTATAAGCTTTCCTTCTGTTTCTCCCTCTGATTTAATATGTACCTCAAAATAGAATTAATAGGGTAAGAGCCCAGGCTCATAACATACATATAGCTGATTATTTCCTCAGTCACAGACTGAATAGGTGGTCTGGTTGTATGTGCATATTCCTAATTTGCTTCCTGTACATTCATAGTAGGTATGGTACAGTAGAGTTTTAACTGTGGTATTTTTTATCCAGGTAATATGTACACAGCGTGGACATCCTTCAAGAGATTTATCCCCTTTCAGTATAAGCATAAATGGTAACAACATTGTTGTATGTAATAGAAACATGCTTACACTACACATGGGCACAAAAACTTTCCTCTGGGCATAGACATTTGCAGCATTTGCAGTAATAACATAACAACGGAACAATCAGTATTGACAGAATTGTAACTATGGTTATAAATTGTATTCACATTTACTTATCTGGACATGGTCCTCTTAGCTTCGGCTGTGTGTACACTAGTCAGCTTCCGGGATGTGACTAGAGCAGAGTTTGAAGAATCCTTAAGCTTCAGCCATGCTTAGACTGACCAGCCTCCAGTGTGGTCAGAGCAGGGCGGTTGTCCTTTTTACCGGTGGCTGAGATTTGCCATAGGGCTATTCGAGTGGGGCAATCTGGGTCTTGTTGGCTAATCCACAGGTTGTCATCAGGACTCGCTACTGTCACTGGTTTTAGATGGCTATGGTGAATCCAAGGTGTGGCACCTGCAACTTTAACAGCAGTGGGAGTGGACATGATTACAATATGGCGCCTATCGTATATGGGTCCTAGAGTGGTTGAATTCCATTTTTTACCTAAACGAAGTCCCTAGGTTTGAAAGGGTGTACTGGGTCTGTTAGACTTATAGGCATTTTTTTACATACTTAACCATGCATTTTAGTATAGCCATACTTAAAGCCTGCATTTGCCTTCTTAAAGTTAGTTTTCCCAATTTACAGAGATTACCCTGAATCTGATTTTTATGGGGGGTGGGCAGCTGAAGAAAATCTCAGAGGGCGAATACTCAGTTTTTTGGTGGGGGTGCACCTGACTCATAAGAGGACCATGGGCAAGACCTGATATTACTTCAGATGAGTTTTTCAACAAAATTTCTTCAACAGCTGCTTGAGTGTCCAGTTTATGCTCTCCACTTTACCTGAGATCTGCTACCTGTAGGCTGTATGTTATTTCCATTTTATTTTTAATAGTCGAGTTAAGTCCTGAACTATTTTAGCCACAAATGTTGGTCCATTCTCTGATCTTAGAGTTAGAGGCAGCCCAAATCTGGAAACAATGTCTCTTAACGCCTTGGTCACGTCTAGTGCCCTCTCTGTCCTGGTGGTAAAGGCCTTGAGCTATCCTGAAAAGGTGCAAATGAACACCAATATGTACTGATAGCCCCCGTCTCAGGGTCATTCAGTGAAGTCCATAAGCAGTTTTTCACAGGGCATGGCTCCTTTTTCCTGAACTCCCATGGGCCGAGTAGGATCTTGTCGTGGATTGTTCTGAGTGTAAGTTAAACACAGTTTACAAATGGCCCGAGTAATAGCAATGAGCCATGGCAGATAAAAATGATGGCTTAATAATGTCTTTATTTTTTTTTTAATCTGAGTTCGGTGGTGGAATTGTTTTACAAATCTGGGGGTCACCATTTCAGGTATGGCTAGCCTCCCATTGAAGAATTTGTATTATCCTCTTTCAATGTAGTTCTTATTTTCCTGGGGAAGCCAAGCTCTGTTATTTGGAGTGAAGATTGGGATCTCCAGGAGGGGAATCTCCGGGAGGAGAGGCATAGCTAAGGCATCTTCTTTAGGTGGAGTTGTCATTGCAGCCTTCTTTGCCTCTTTGCCTTCGTATCTTTTTTAGCCCTTAGTGTTCTTGCTTTTTGCTGCCTCTTGCAGGACTTCACTACCGTCACTTTTGGGGCCCATACAGCGTTTAAGAGCTGTAGGATTTCTTCCTTGTACTTTATTTCTTTGTTTCCAGCAGTTAAAAGTCTTCTTTTTTTCTTTGTAAATAACCTTATGAACATGCAAAGTGGCAGAAGCATATTTGGAACCTGTATAAATATTGGTCTTTTGGTCTTTTGCTAGCCAGAGAACTCTTGTCAGAGCTCTTAGTTCTGCTTTCTAATCAGAAGTTTCTGTAGATGAAGACTGCACCTCTACTGTTGAGTCTAAAGTCACCACTGCATACGCAGCTTGGCGGGCTCCTTTTAGTATGAAACTGCTTCCATCAGTAGAATATTCAATGTTTGGGTCCCTGAGGGACTGATCTGTCAAATCTCTCTGGCTTGAGAACACTTCATCTACCACGTCCACACCACAATGAAACGGTCCTCCTGGCACTGACTCGATGAGAGTAAGGTAGCCGGATTTAGGGTATTCACAGTCTCTAAAGTTAGTTTACTAGCTTCCTGCACCAGTACGGCAGTGGCTGCTAGTGCTTTAAGACAAGGAGGCCATCCAAGTGCAACAGAATCTAATTGCCTGGATAAATATGCCACCAGGCGATGCCATGACCTTATGGCTTGAGTCAGAACCCCTATGGCCTCCCTTTCACTTGTGCACATACAAGAAGAAAAGCTTGATTAGTTAGATCTGGCAGTCCTAAAGCTGGGGCCTGAGTCAAGGCTTCTTTGATTTCTTTAAAATCCTTCTCCTCTTTGGCCTCCTAGAGGAGGGGCTCCTTTTTTCCTCCTCTTAGTGGCTTGGTATGATGGCTTGACCATGAGCAAGAAATTTGGGTTGTAAACGCGGCAGAACCTTGCTGCTCTTAGAAACTCTCTTACTTGACACCGGGTGGTTGGAGTAGAAAGTGCACAAACAGCCTGCTTTTTTTCAGGACTAAGCCATCTTTCCTCTTGGCTTATATAAAAGCTTAAATATTGACACTTTTAGAGGAGATTTGAGCTTTTTTCTGACACTTTTTATTCTGCCTTCTACAGCAGGTGCAGTGGTTCTTGGGTTTCTTCTGCGTGTAGTAGCCCTTGGCTGGTGTGTGTGTGTGATTTTTTGGTTCTGTTTTTTTGGGTTTTTTTGGTTTGTTTTTTGTTTCTTTTACTATTGCCCTGATCATTTTCATTATTTCTTTGACATTTATGCTTCCAGTGTCTTTCCTTTTGCACCATGCACATTAATCTCTCTCTAGCCTCGGCTGGCCTTCACACTCCTGTCCAGACTAGCCTTTTTCATGACTACGTTCACGCCCGCGTCCATGCCTCCTTGTAAAGCCAGCTCCTCTTCCCGGAAGGGCTGCTGCTAGTAAGTTAGCCTTTCTTAAGCCTGTGATCAGCCTTTTCCTTTGCCTCCTCATCTCGGTTAATTAACACCTTGGTTGTCACTTTAATAAGCTGAGTAGCATTCACGCCTACGGAGCTTGTAACTTCTGCAATTTATGCCTGATATCTCCTGGGGTCTGCCTTACAAGTGCTGGATTCACCCTGCACTGATTTTTGAGTAGCCTCAGGGTTAAACGGAGTGTACAATAAAAATGCCTCACAAAGTCTTTCATAGAACTTGCTGTGCTTTTATCTGCACCCTGAAGCATGTCTGAGATTTTTTAAAATATTGATTGCCTTTTTCTTTTACCATCCTTTAGCCTTTGCAGATGGGCTTCTCGGCACCTTTGCAGGTGCTGAATCTGGACTGCATCATCTGGGTCCTAGTGGGGGTCCTCCTGTCCTCTTAAGAGGCATGAGCATATCTTATGCACGACCAGACCTGAGACGGCCTGCCTGATTTTCGCTCTCATTTCACCTTCTCGGGTGAGACTGGCAGCATGTATCCATTTGAACTTAACTCCTTAGGGACAGTTACCTTGGTAAAGGGGGTAGATTGGAATGTAAGGAGGAGCGGTCTCTATTCTTTTCTGTGGTTGTGACAAAACCGGTTTTTCTGCCTTTTCTGAGATTTTTTCATTTGTCTTCAGTTGCTGGGGCAGCTGATTTTACTTTCACTTTTGGCTGGGAGGTGCTACAAGCCTCTGTGTCTCCTTTTAACTCTGTAGCTGCCAGAGCAGCTGATTTTCTCTTGCCGTGAGCTGCGAGCATTCTACAGTAAACTGCTAGGCAGGGCTGCATTCATTTAGCCATGAGTCAATATAAAGACTAGGTCTGAATGTCCTGGCTGTTCTCTGACCCTAGTCACCACCTTAAAACACACGGCCAATTTTTCTATAGTGCCTTTGGCAAGCCATCTGACACTAAAACAGGGCTATTCTAATTCACAGTATGTCCTTAACTTTTGAACACTCAGTTTCATCCTATAATCACCTCTAACTCTTTTTTTAAAATTCTTTATTATGCTTTTCAAAGGAGCCACTTTTGATGTTTTCACTCTCATTTCCTCTCTTGCAGTTCACTTTCACTCTGACTTTCACTCTTGAGTCCACCAGACCTGGTCCTATTGCGGGAGTTTCAGATGCTGCTTAGCCAGGACCATGCCTTCCCCTGTCGCAGACTGCTGCAGCTGTAAAACTGGTACTATCAGCCATATGAAGCATCTTAGGTCTGATTTTCCCCACATTCGCCTCAGAGCACACAGCCACCACTAAGGGATCTGTGCCTCCCCATGTCGCTGCCCACATTGGCCTCTCCCAATGTAACAGGAAGAGTGGCAGACAAAACCCCTTGGACACTGAGTTAAAGAAAGAAGGTGTTTATTCACCTGGGAGCTTCAGCAAGACTTCTTTCCCAAGAGCTGAACCCTCCGAGTGAGCAATTCCTGTCCCTTTTAAGGGCTCACAACTCTAAGGGGGTCCGCATGAGAGGGTCACGATCTATTGAGCAAGCAGTGGGTATGTGACTGGGGGCTGCATACACTGGTAATTAGAAAGGTACTGAACAGGACAGGGATCTTCACAGTGCATTTTTTATGCAAATAACCGATTAGGTCAGGGGTTGACCTTTAACTACCAGGCCCAGGGTGTGGCGCTGGGCTGTCTGCTTGTGGATTTCATTTCTGCCTTCTAGTTTTTACTTCTTCTTTCTTTGGAGGCAGAAATTGGGTATAAGACAATATGAGGGTTGGTCTCCTCCCTTATTTTCCCCCTTTGAGACTCTCACTCATTTTATTAGTGGGAGTTCTCACCTTCTTCCTCACTACCTATGTCTTCCTCTATCACAGATTGATAGTGATTCATGTAGTACACTCGTGCTGAAGCGTTCTGGTGAACTAGAGTTGCCATGAAAACTTTTACCACTTGAATGAGTACAGCTAGTAAGCAAGAGATCAGTAAGCAGGTTCCTATTACTACTATAGTTTCCATTATAAGAGTTTTAAATCCTTCTAGTGCCGGGAACCATTTTCAAACATGGCCTCAGTGTCAAATCGGTGCCACACTTGTACTGGCACATGTGCCAGTTTCATCATGTCTTTAACTATATCTTCGACTACTTGCCCCTGATCATCTATGTGCAGACAGCAAGTGGGCCTAATTACAGTCACTAAATTGGGCCTAATTACAGTCATAATCAATTTACTAAAATAACCAGACAGCAAGACAGGTTTCCAAACATTGGCAAATGTTTCAGGGAGAAAAAAATGCCCCACTAGAGAAGCATGGTTGTATCTCTGTGTGTACATACACACGGGGCCAGGCAGTTCTATGCATGATAGTCTGGGACTGTAAAAGTGACTATGCAAACCTTTACATTCTGTCACAGAACTTACAATTTAAAGTGAGCATCTTTTTCTGTGACTTAGAAATTGACTTTTTTTTTTTAGTTGGGAGCCACTTTTAGCAATTTTCCCTTTGTTGATACATAATAATAGTATATATTTGTGGTGCATGAGTGATATTTTGATACATGCATGCAATGTACAGTGATCAAATCAGGGTAATTAGAATATCCATCACCTCAAACATGGATATTATTTTCTTTGTGTTTGAAAAATTTCCTTTGTGTTGGGAGAATTTAAAGCCATCTCTTCTATCTATTTTAAAATATATTAAAAATTAGTGCTAACTGTAGTTATCCTACTGTGCTGTCAGACACTAGAAATTATTCCTCCTATGATAAAAAGTTTAGGCTGTATCCCATGGGTAGTAGGACACCACATGACTGAGTGGTCATCTGGGAAATTATCTGGATGACTTTGGAACATTCCTGGTTGAGCCACGTGGCTGTTGCAACAAACTGTGGGGAAGCCCCTCCCCTAATGCCCCCTAAGCCAGCTGTCACTACATGGCAGGAAACCTCCAAACCTGAGGGCCCCAGGAAACAATGACAGTCCCCACTCACATGCAACTTGTGCTGTGCTCAGTGCCCTCCACATTGAGCCTGATCTAGCTTTACCCGAGGGCTGTGAGGTGGGACAATCAGTATCCCTTTATTTTAAAAGGCTCAGTGAAGTTTTGGGCTTAATGTGAGTGAAGTGATCCTAAAAGCTGACTCTGGGATCCCGGCTCCACCACTGACCAGTCCTGCAGGTGGCGAGAGTTGCCTCTCCTCCCCTCGATTTCATTTTGTCCTCTGTGAAGTGCAGCCGTGCTGATGACTCACATATCAGGGATACATGGGAACTGTCAATGAACGGAGTGCTCTACACAGTGCCTGGAGCTCAGAATGCAGATGAGGGAGGAGGGTGAGCCATAATTCTGAGGGAAGTCCCAACATAATTTAGCCCTTCCATCTAGTAGCCAGGCCCCAGTACAGAGTCCTATGTCAGTGACAGGGCAAACTGAGACCAGCTCAAACACAGCCTCTTCCTCAGCAGCAGGGCCCAACTAAGGCACTTGGTGTTTTGGTTCATTTCCTGCAGCTTCAATGTAAAGAATATTGTGAGACATTTGCTGGAACAACTGAAAATCAGAAGAAGAAGAGACAGCTCTTCTCCATCTCCCTGAGAGCTCTTCCCCAGAATGTGTTTATCCAGAGAGGAGGGGAAATATTTATTTTTCGTAAATAGTAAATGCTAGAGTCAAATATTATATGAAAATCTCATTCTACTACAAAATCGGAGTTGTGGTTGTGGTTCTTTTTATTTCACTTGTGTAAGCTTAAATGAGATACAGACTCTAACATTTCTCCTTGAATTATGAAATCCTAAAGAGTCAGCAGCATAATGTATGAGGAAGAAGAGAAAAGCAGTCATAGTTTCTGGCTGCCGGATAAGACACCCAGGTCCATTTTTCTCAGAGCATATGTTCATTTTAATATTAACCCAAGGAAAGAGTGAAGATAGATCATTCGAACTTGCAGAATTAATAATTTGAAGGTATTTTCACAAAGCATAGCGACAGTCTTGGAAATATAGATTTCTTTAAAAAGCAGTTGCAGAGATCAGGAGGATGAATACCTTTCTATGATTTTACAAAAAATAAATCAACTTCTGCTTCACTTGTTGAGGTTTCCTCTAAGCAACTATTAGGACATTGTTGTTTTTTCTTCCAACTCTGGAGTTGCATCAGGTCTATGTGGAAAAAAACATTATAAAATAAAATGACCAAAGTCAAAAGGAGAAGGCCAGGGAAAGTCTATTGACAATGGATGCAGGGCAGAAAGGAAGCTGCATTCTCAATCTTCTTCTGGTGTCCTGTGATTGAGCCTTTACCTTAGATGTAAATCCTCCCAGAGTTTTGTCTCTTACCTTAGAATTTCTATTCTTTTTTTAAGTTAGTTTCTTATCTAGAATGAAAGAATTGTAATGCCACTTTATGGCTACACCTGGGCCTTATTCTGTAAATATTTTTACTACCTATGAGGTAAAATTCCCAGCATTAGGGCAATTCTTTATCCAATTTTTTCTTTCTGAGACAGAGTCTTGCTGTGTCACCCAGGCTGGAGTACATTGGTACAATCTTGGCTCACTGCGATCTCCACCTCCTGGGTTCAAGAGATTCTGCTGCCTCAGGCTTCTGTGTAGCTGAGATTACAGGCACCCAGCTTCATGTCCAGCTAATTTTTGTACGTTTAGTATGTTTAGTAAATTTTGTATTTTTAGTTTCACTATGTTTGTCAGGCTGGTCTTGAACTCCTGACCTCCAATAATCTGCCCGCCTTGGCCTTCCAAAGTGCTGGAATTACAGGTGTGAACCAATTCTTTTTGAGGAATAAATTACCTAAAGGTCCTCAAGCCTTTCTGTCAGGCATATCTTGGCCTTTTCTCTCTGACTGGGGTCCGATGAATCACAGGTGGGCACTATTTTTCTATATTCCCAACCAGTGATAATCCTTGCGCTCTTTATTTCTAATTAAAAGAAATCCAAAATGGAGATAGTTATTTGAGAGGTCTCTAAAGACAACTAGGAGGACATGAGGAGTTGAATTAATACTTATACACACCCAGGTGGAATTTTACCTGTTCGAACTGGGAAAATTACAGATGTCCTAAAAAGGCAACTGCATTTGACTTGGATTGTTTATACTGAGCCTGATCACAAACCTCCTGAAGAGAAAGCTGTGCTGAATTAAGCTGATGATTGCCTAGATACAGTCTAAGCTGGCAATCAAACATTGTCCATCATAGACTGTGCTAAAATCTTTCACTTGTGTAAACTTGCAGTAAAACTTTATAAGTCCCTCCCTAACCTCATCTGAATGGAACATGATATAGCTTCTTGCTAAATTTGTGTCTCCCAAATAGCAATTTATAAAAAATCATGATTAAAATGCCTTTTATTTTATTTTCCACAGGGTCTGTTTTACTCCCATGTTATAAAATGCTTTTCTCAAGAAAGCATAGAGCCCATTCTCTTCTCTAGAGAGAATCGCAGCCTTGCAAAAGAGACAACTAAAAATACATACATATAAGTAGCAAGAATTTAAAACTCAAAATATTAAATATGTTACAAAAGTATACAAGCAATAGAATAAATAGGATGAATAGCAAAATGGATAAAATCAACTGTGAGTTGAAAGCCTGAAAGTTCAGGTGAAGGTGTTGAAAATGCTTCAGAAAAAACTAAGGAGATAAATATTTATAAAAATAAAGAGCTGGGCTCAGTGGCTCACACTTGAAATTTCAGCTGCTAGGGATGCTGAGGCCAGAGGATCAATTAAGGCCAGAAGTTTGAGACAAGCCTAAGCAAGACCTTGTCACTGAAAATGTTTTAAAAATTATTTTGACATTATAGCATGTAACTGTGGTCTCAACTACTTAGAAGGCTGAGGCAGGAGGATTACTTGAACTCAGGAAGTTGAGGTTACAGTGAACTATAATCATGCTACCGTACTCCAGCCTGGAGTGAGGCAAAATCTAGTCACATTAAAATAAAATAAAACAAAATAAAATAAAATAAAATAAAATAAAATAAAATAAAATATAATCTAGTCACGTTAAAATAAAGTACAATTATCAAGGACAAAAATAAAATTGTACAACTTGGCAATAGAAAAAAAATAGAGCATAGAGCAACTGGGGGAAAGGGGGTTGAAAGTATAATTTCCTTTTTATTTCCTTAGTTGGTCATTACTTAGACTTTTTCACTTAATTAAAATTTTCTTATACTTTGGTGCCCAGTTAACCCCAGAGCATTTTTAATTAATTGGTTTAGAGGTAGATACTCATATAAGCTTTCCACTGCAAATTACAAGAGCCAAATTTTAAATAAATGTTGGACCTCTAAATTTTCTATTTGCAATATTTAAGGAAATAAAAATTATAAAAAACACTTTGTAAAACATTTAGTATGTAACTGCTGTTTCTAACGTATAATAAATCCAATTATGGCAGAGACTCACTCTGTTGTTGAGAATCTCTCCATTATATGACTGCTGCTTGTGGTGCTTAAACCTCAGGAAGAAAGAATATATGAATGTCTGAACATTGCTTTAAAAAGACAATGTACATTTAATGTAGAGATATGTGACCAGCTTAGAAAGCTGCACTTTTTCCACAGCAGGCAAAACGGAGCCTGGATACCCCAGGGTCACAGCTCATGAGAACATAGGGCTGGACTGTGAGAAAACAAGAAGCAATTAGTGCAGAGGAGTTGACAAGACACCAACTGGGCTGAGAAAAAAGAGCTGATAGATTAATTTCCAAATTATACTACAAAACATACAATAAGCAGACCCCATAGCTTTATACATTAAAACCAAATGATGACAAAGAGTGAGGATTGCATTAAATTAAATTAGGAGCAACTAAAGACTGGTTTATGATCTTGAAACTTTAGTCACTCTCCATAGTTCCATCCCATGACCCGGTAATTATTTCCTGCTTTCTGCATGCCTTGGACACTGGTCCATTTCTGGCCCCAAAGTGTTCCTTTTTCTAATAAGAGTACTTACTTCATCTCTTAATACAATTCCTTTCCTTGCATACTGTGCCCCAAAGAAGAAATATTAAAAACTTTCCTGATGTTTTTCTGCTGCGGGGTTAATGGGCTCAGAGTGATGATAAGAACGGCCAATGAGTGTGTGGAGCCAGATAGTGCTTAAAATATGGACTTCAGTCCAGTGAAGTCTAACAAGATTGGCACCTGAGCACTCTTCTCTGAGACCTGAGGATGGACTCACTGAACCTGGAGCTACTAACGCAGCTGATACCCACATATATACACCACCTGTGTTCCTAGAAACTGGCCTTCCCAGCCCATCACAGCAAACACCAACACCAGCATGGAACGCTTGGGAGTCAAAGGTTTTTCTTGTCGTTGCTACTGCCATCATCCATGCCATAACCACTGTCCAGGGGCTCAAGAAGCTGCCCACCCACCTTGCTCACTGCTGACACCTGAGCAAATCACATGAAGGCCAAATAATTAGTCTTCCTGGACCTGTTAACACTGCTGCCAGCATAACTGCCTTGAGGCCCAAAAGCAGGCATGGTAAGCTCACCACTGCCACCACTGGGATCCAATGACTAAACCTCTGGTGCCCCTATTCCCAGCAAAACTTTACCACAGCCTCTGCTAAAAACGATACCCTAAGCCACTGAGAAAGGTACAGACACCACTGATACTCTTTACAGCCAAAGAAATCATATAAAGACAGGCCGGGTATTGTGGCTCATGCCTGTAATTCCAGCACTTTGGGAGGCCAAGGCCAGTGGCTCGCTTGAGGCTAAGAGTATGATACCAACCTGGGGAACATGGCAAAACCCTGACTCTACTAAAAACACACAAATTTGCTGGGCATAGTGGTAGGCACCTGTAATCCCAGCTACTTGGGAGACTGAGGCACGAGAATCGCCTGAACTCAGAGGTGGAGCCTACAGTGAGCCGAGATAGTGCCACTACACTCCATCCTGGGCAACAGAGCAAGGTTCTATCTTAAAATATATACACATACAGAGTTTAAAGTCTGTGCTCTCCTCTCCTCAGCTGCCTTGTGACTGTGTAAGTGTATGTTTGGGAAGGGAGGGATAGGATGAGGACAGGTCAGCAGAGAGTCACCAGCACTGGCTAAAGGTCTCAGACCAAATTTTATACTCTTGACCAGGAGAAACTTCTCTGTTATTCTAATCACATTAAACTCAAGCATTTTCTTTTTTTCTTTCTTTTTTTTGAGAAATCACATCGAACTTCCAAAATTATAAAGTTGAAAATATGTAATAATTGACAATTGGAAACAAGAAAGAGGATTAGCTATAAAAATAACTCAGGACAATGTATTTATCATGAAAAGATGGTCTTGGTGGAAGAAAGTTTCATGCCCAGCCAGCCCATTCTTCAATATCTGCTAAAAAAAAAAAGAGCAAAGGGAACTTAAAGACATCATAGACTTGGAAATTTCGTCTCACAGTGCATTAATTTCCCAAATCACATGTGGAAGAGAAGAAGCTGCTGCATATTAGACTAACTAGTTTTACTGAATGTTGTCTGTTGATTTAAAAATTAATACTCTTATCAAGAGCAAATTGAAATACTGAAAGTTATTTACTAAACAGCAAAGAATATTTTCAGTATATAAAAAGATTTAAAAAAACGTTGACACCTTAACTAAATCTGACACAAATTTAAAAGGAAAAGTAACTAGAAAATGAAAGAAGCGTCGTACAAGTATGCGATGCACCCTCTGTTGCACCAACTGCTCCTGTTTGTTGAGTCCCCTCTTCTATTCTGCCTCCTCCATCTCCTTGCTGATTCCCCTTTTTGTCTATTTTAATTTCTCTCTCTATTCCTTTCTCAGGTCACCATGTCACATTCCTTTTGTGTCTTTTGATGTCCAATCTCACCGACACCACCTTCATTCTCTATTTTATCTTTACAAATGGTTAATTAGGCATAAAGAGGGAAAACACTCCTGGGAAGATACCTGAATCCTGGTGCACACTATCATTATCACTGTTTTTCATGTTGATGCTCATGTGTCTCTGCTTTCTCGACAGACTATTTAATCAGCAGACAGATCAACAGGCCAAAATTTCCACCATAGTTGCAAATTTGAATGCGGATGAATGGATTAAAACACATTCAAGTCTTGCAATGAACGGCATAATGTATGGTGGTATAATTCAGAGTGGTTACAGGGGAGAGTTAAAGATCATTTTATACAATATCACTCGAGAATCTTTTGCTGTAAAACTGCAGATGTGGGTTCCTCAATTTTTAGTGGTACCTTGTCAACAATTAACCCCTGAGGATGTCTCTGCCCCAACAGAGGCTACATACAGAACTGGGAGATTCAGACGCACTGGTACACGTAGCTTAAATCCTGGAGCCAAAATATGAGTACAGCGTCCATCACATCCTACTCCTATGGCTGGTGAACTTGTAGCTATGGGAGAAGAAACTGAAGGCATAGTACAGTTTCCTAAAGATGAAAAACAATATTATGTTCCCCTCTGTTTTGGTTATTACAGAGAATAACCTGTTTACTAATGGTCAGTACCTGTGTCTCTGTGTCTGATGCCAAGAATAAATTCATCATCTGCATAGCCACCACTGCAACAGAAGCCAACTGCAGTCAATGTTGGCTATGCGTGGAATTGCCAGAGGCCACCAAAAATGGGCTACGTTGGAGAATCGTCCCTGTACCTTACTGCATACCGAATGTTGTGTGTATATCCCTGACAATTCTCACACTACGACTCTCCTTGCACAGCCATGGTGGGTGTGGTTTTCATTAACTGTGCTTTTAATTCTCCTGTGCTTACCCTGAATCTGTAATCTGTATCAACTATGCTTTCCCCAAGTATCTGTAAGGGTATTTTCCTACAATTGAGTATCAAATTGAAGCCAAATTTGGAAGAAAAGTTAAATATTCAATTTTATCTCAATTGAACATGGACACAAACAATGGTCACCAAGTCCCGGAACAGGTTCTGTGAGTTTCTTCAGGCGTTCATCCACCAGTGTCTCAGAGAAATTTCTATTTTAATCTGTTCCTGTATGTTAGTTATTGAAAAACAACAGACAATCGCCAAAAATTTGACATTTTTGTGGTTTTTGAGCCCAGTAGTGAAGAGTCCTCGTTACCCGGCCTTATGCCAAAGAACTCCTTACAAAAAGAGCTAGGGTCCCAGATGGCACTAGAGCTTCCTGAGACCTCTCCCCATCTCTGCAGGGATGAGGGGCCAACTCTGTAGCCCAGGCTGTTGCTTCCCGGTCTGTTGATGAATCCTCCATAGTCTGGTGAGTGTAGTGTCTGACTCTGGAGCCCAGGCTGTTGCTTCTGTGTCTGGTGATGCTTCCTCCATACTCTGTAGTCTGCTGTGTGTAAACATATGTGTATATATATATATACATATATATGTATATAATTTATACATATAACTGTAAATAAAAATAATTATATAATTACGTACATAATTATTTAAATAAATAAATGTAAATAAATACATATATAATTTTATATATATAATATATATATTTATATATATAAAAAATATATATATTTTTTCCCTTCTCGTATCAATTTGCTTATCATATCATTTACTTATTATATCTGTATTGCCATATAATTGAGACAAAAGATGTTTACCCTTAAAAGTATTGTGTGTGCCTTTTCTTCTTCCTCATGCATCTCCCATGCAGAACACATGCCTGACAAATTTTTATATTTTTAGTGGAGACTGGGTTTAGCCATGTTGGCCAGGCTGATCTCAAACTCCTGACCTCAGGTGATCCTTCCATCTCGGCATCCCAAAGTGCTGAGATTATAGGCATGAAACACCCAGCCAGGAGGAGGCATTTCTACAAAGAAAACATACAAATGGCAAACAGACATATAAATGTTGCTAAACATCATTAAACCTCAGAGAAATGCAAATCAGAACTACAATAAGATATTATCTCACTCCAGTTAAAATGTCTTATATCCCAAAGACAGACAATAACAAGTGCTGACGAGGATGTGGAGAAAACTTTAGTGCACTCTTGGTGGGAATGTAAATTAGTATAACCACTATAAAAAAGTGTGGAGGTTCCTCAAAAAGCTAAAAATTGAGCTGCCACAGCTACAATGCAACCCAACAATCCCAGTGATGGGCATTGACACAAAAGAAAGAAAATCGGCTTGTTGCTGCACTGTTTACAATAGCTAAGATTTGAAAGCAAACAGTCTACAAATGAATGAATGTATAAAAAAAGTAGTACATATATACATTGGAGTAGTATTCAGCCATAAAAATGAGATTTTGTCTTTTACGACAACATGGATAAAAGAGAAGAGTATGTTAAGTGAAATAAGCCAGGCACAGAAAGATAAACACTGTGCGTTCTCACTTATTCGTGGGATGGAAGAATTAATACAACTGAATTCACGGACATAGAGAGCAGAAGGATGGTTTTCAGAGGCTAAGAAAGACAGTGGAGGCTGGGGGAAAGGTGGGGACTGTTAATGTGTACAAAAAAATAGAATAAATAAGACATATTATTTGATAGCACAACGAGATGACTCTGGTCAATAATAATGTAATTGTACATTTTAAACTAGCTAAGAAGGAATAATCAGATTTTAACCCAAAGAATAAATGCTTGAGTGGGTGGGTATCCCATTCTCTATGATGTGATTATTATGCATTGCGAGACCGCATCAAAACATCTCATGAACCCCATAAGTATATACACCTACAATGCATCCTCAAAAATTACAAATTAACTGAAGTAAATAAAATAAAACTATTTAAAAATAAAATATCATAACATTAACTAGCCCCAGAAATATAAGATTTTAATGAAATAAAAATGCCTCTATAATAATCAAACAGTGAGAAGAAAGTCACACTTTACTCCTATTTTTGTTTCTGATCTATCTTCTATCTAGTTTCAAGTTGTAGAATTTTCTTTTTTCATTTCTAATTAAATTTTATTTTATTTTATTTTTTTATTATACTTTAACTTTTACGGTACATGCGCACAACATGCAGGTTTGTTACATATGTATACATGTGCCATGTTGGTGTGCTGCACCCAGTAACTCGCCATTTAACATTAGGTATATCTCCAAATGCTATCCGTCCCCCCTCACCCTACCCCACAACAGGCCCCGGAGTGTGATGTTCCCCTTCTTCTGCCCATATGTTCTCTTTGGTCAATTCCCACCTATGAGCGAGAACATGCGGTGTTTGGTGTTTTGTGCTTGGATAGTTTGCTCAGAATGATGGTTCCAGCTTCATCCATGTCCCTATAAAGGACATGAACTCTTCATTTTTTATGGCTGCATTTTGTTCCATGGTGTATATGTGCCACATTTTCTTAATCCAGTCTATCATTGTTGGACATTTGGGTTGGTTCCAAGTCTTCGCTATTGTGAACAGTGCCGCAATAAACATACTTGTGCTTGTGCCTTTATAGCAGCATGATTTATACTCCCTTGGGTGTATACCCAGTAATGGGATGGCTGGGTCAAATAGTATTTCTAGTTCTAGAGCCCTGAGGAATCGCCACACTGACTTCCACAATGGTTGAACTAGTTTACAGTCCCACCAACCGTGTAAAAGTGTTTCTATTTCTCCACATCCTCTCCAGCACCTGTTGTTTCCTGATTTTTTAATGATCGCCATTCTAAGTGGTGTGAGATGGTATCTCATTGTGGTTTTGATTTGCATTTCTCTGATGGCCAGTGACGATGAGCATTTTTCCATGTGTCTTTTTGCTGCATAAATGTCTTCTTTTGAGAAGGGTCTTCATATCCTTCACCCACTTTTTGATGGGGTTGTTTTTTTCTTGTAAATTTGTTTGAGTTCATTGTAGATTCTGGATATTAGCCCTTCGTCAGATGAGTAGATGACACAAACTTTCTCCCATTCTGTAGGTTGCCTGTTCAGTCTGATGGTAGTTTCTTTTGCTGTGCAGAAACTCCTTAGTTTAATTAGATCCCATTTGTCAATTTTGGCTTTTGTTGCCATTGCTTTTGGTGTTCTAGACATGAAGTCCTTCCCCATGCCTATGTCCTGAATGGTATTGCCTAGGTTTTCTTCTAGGGTTTTTACGGTTTTAGGTCTAACATTTAAGTCTTGAATCCATCTTGAATTAATTTTTGTATAAGGTGCAAGGAAGGGATCCAGTTTCAGCTTTCTACATACGGCTAGCCAGTTTTCCCAGCACCATTTATTAACTAGGGAATCATTTCCCCATTTCTTGTGTTTGTCAGGTTTGTCAAAGATCAGATGGTTGTAGATATGTGGCATTATTTCTCAGGGCTCTGTTCTGTTCCATTGGTCTATATCTCTGTTTTGGTACAAGTACAATGCTGTTTTGGTCACTGTAGCCTTGTAGTATAGTTTGATGTCAGGTAGCGTGATGGCTCCAGCTTTGTTCTTTTGGTTTAGGATTGACTTGGCAATGAGGGCTCTTTTTTAGTTCCTTATGAACTTTAAAGTAGTTTTTTTCTAATTCTGTGAAGAAAGTCTTTGGTAGCTTGATGGGGATGGCATTGAATCTATAAATTACCTTGGGCAGTATGGCCATTTTCACGATATTGATTATTCCTACCCATGAGCATGGAATGTTCTTCCATTTGTTTGTATCCTCTTTTATTTCATTGAGCAGTGGTTTGTAGTTCTCCTTGAAGAGGTCCTTCACGTCCTTGTAAGTTGGGTTCCTAGGTATTTTATTCTCTTTGAAGCAATTGTGAATGGGAGTTCACTCACGATTTGGCTCTCTGTTTGTCTGTTATTGGTGTATAAGAATGCTAATGATTTTTGCACACTGATTTTGTATCCTGAGACTTTGCTGAAGTTGCCTATCAGCTTAAGGAGATTTTGGGCTGAGATGATGGGGTTTTCTAGATATACAATCATGTCATCTGCAAACAGGGACAGTTTGACTTCCTCTTTTCCTAATTGAATACCCTTTATTTCCTTCTCCTTCCTGATTGCCCTGGCCAGAATTTCCAACATTGTGTTGAATAGGAGTGGTGAGAGAGGGCATCCCTGTCTTGTGCCTGTTTTCAAAGGGAATGCTTCCAGCTTTTGCCCATTTAGTATGATATTGGCTATGGCTTTGTCAGAGATAGCTCCTATTACTTTGAGATACGTCTCATCAATTCCTAATTTATTGAGAGTTTTTTGCAGGAAGAGTTGTTGAATTTTGTCAAAGGCCTTTTCTGCATCTCTTGATATCTCAAGATAATCACATGGTTTTTTTGTCATTGGTTCTGTTTATAAGGTGGATTACGTTTGTTGATTTGTGTATGTTGAACCAGCCTTGCATCCCAGAGATGAAGCCCACTTGATCATGGTGGATAAGCTTTTTGATATGCTGCTGGATTCGGTTTGCCAGTATTTTATTGAGGATTTTTGCATAGATCTTCATCGGAGATATTGGTCTAAAATTCTCTTTTTTTGTTGTGTCTCTGCCAGGCTTTGGTATCAGGATGATGCTGTCCTCATAAAATGAGTTAGGGAGGTTCCCTCTTTTTCTATTGATTGGAATAGTTTCAGAAGGAATGGTACCAGCTCCTCCTTGTACCTCTGGTAGATTTTGGCTGTGAATCCATCTGGTCCTGGACTTTTTCTGGTTGGAAAGCTAATTATTAATTATTGCCTCAATTTCAGAGCCTGTTATTGGTCTATTCAGAGATTCAAATTCTTCCTGGTTTAGTCTTGGGTGGGTGTATGTGTCGAGGAATTTATCCATTTCTTCTAGATTTTCTAGTTTATTTGCATAGAGGTGTTTATAGTATTCTCTGATGGTAGTTTGTATTTCTGTGGGATCGGTGGTGATATCCCCTTGGGTTTAATAAACAGATAACATCAAACATTCAACTAATCCAATAAAAAGAAATTTTATTCATTTGAGAATGTGTTTTCCAGAGCATACTTATATATTACGTTTTAACTTCATAATTTATATTTTATAAAAACATAACTAATTCAAGTTAATCTTCTCTAATTTTTAATTCAATTGAATTTTTATCAGGATCACTATATTTAAACAAAAATTACCTGAATTTTTCACATCATAATTTATAGATTCTGCTTCTACAAATTGTCTGTAGGGACCATTATTTCTACACGGTCTACTTTCCTGGGTTAAGTGGTGGATACCCAAATGTTTTTTGGAATAATGTTTTCTTATATCAGTTTTTAGTCAGTGATACGTTGCACCATGTTTAATTTTAAGCATTATCAGTTTTCTTTTTTTTTTTTAATTGATCATTCTTGGGTGTTTCTCGCAGAGGGGGATTTGGCAGGGTCACAGGACAATAGTGGAGGGAAGGTCAGCAGATAAACAAGTGAACAAAGGTCTCTGGTTTTCCTAGGCAGAGGACCCTGTGGCCTTCCGCAGTGTTTGTGTCCCTGGGTACTTGAGATTAGGGAGTGGTGATGACTCTTAAGGAGCATGCTGCCTTCAAGCATCTGTTTAACAAAGCACATCTTGCACCGCCCTTAATCCATTCAACCCTGAGTGGATACAGCCCATGTTTCAGAGAGCACAGGGTTGGGGGTAAGGTCACAGATCAACAGGATCCCAAGGCAGAAGAATTTTTCTTAGTACAGAACAAAATGAAAAGTCTCCCATGTCTACCTCTTTCTACACAGACACGGCAACCATCCGATTTCTCAATCTTTTCCCCACCTTTCCCCCCTTTCTATTCCACAAAACCGCCATTGTCATCATGGCCCATTCTCAATGAGCTGTTGGGTACACCTCCCAGACGGGGTGGTGGCAGGGCAGAGGGGCTCCTCACTTCCCAGTAGGGGCGGCTGGGCAGAGGCGCCCTTCACCTCCCGGACGGGGCGGCTGGCCAGGCGGGGGGCTGACCCCCCCACCTCCCTCCTGGACAGGGCGGCTGGCCGGGCGAGGGGCTGACCCCCTCACCTCCCTCCCGGACGGGGCGGCTGGCCGGGCGGGGGGCTGACCCGCCCACCTCCCTCCCCCCCAGAAGGGGTGGCTGGTCGGGCGGGGGGCTGATCCCCCACCTCCCTCCCAGACGGGGCGGCTGGCCGGGCAGAGGGGCTCCTCACTTCCCATCAGGGGCTGCCGGGCAGAGGCGCCCCTCACTTCCCGGATGGGGCGGCTGGCCAGGCGGGGGGCTAACCCACCCACCTCCCTCCCGGAGGAGGCGGCTGGCCGGGCGGGCGGCTGACCCCCCACCTCCCTCCCGCATGGGGTGGCTGGCCAGGCGGGGGGCTGACCCCCCCACCTCACTCCCGAACGAGGTGGCTGCCAGGCGGAGATGCTCCTCACTTCCGAGACGGGGTGACTGCCGGGCGGAGGGGCTCCTCACTTCTCAGACGGGGTGTTTGCCAGGCAAAGGGTCTCCTCACTTCTCAGACGGGGCGGCCGGGCAGAGACATTCCTCACATCCCGGACGGGGCGGCAGGGCAGAGGTGCTCCCCACATCTCAGATGATGGGCGGCCGGGCAGAGACGCTCCTCACTTCCCAGATGTGATGGCGGCCGGGAAGAGGCGCTCCTCACTTCCTAGATGGGATGGCGGCCGGGCAGAGACGCTCCTCACTTTCCAGACTGGGCAGCCAGGCAGAGGGGCTCCTCACATCCCAGACGATGGGCGGCCAGGTGGAGACGCTCCTCACTTCCCAGACGGGGTGGCGGCCGGGCAGAGGCTGCAATCTCGGCACTTTGGGAGGCCAAGGCAGGCTGCTGGGAGGTGGAGGTTGTAGCGAGCCGAGATCACGCCACTGCACTCCAGCCTGGGCACCATTGAGCACTGAGTGAACGAGTCTCCGTCTGCAATCCCGGCACCTCGGGAGGCCGAGGCTGGCGGATCACTCGCGGTTAGGAGCTCAGCCCGGCCAACACAGCGAAACCCCGTCTCCACCAAAAAAATACGAAAACCAGTCAGGCGTGGCGGCGCGCGCCTGCAATCGCAGGCACTCGGCAGGCTGAGGCAGGAGAATCAGGCAGGGAGGTTGCAGTGAGCCGAGATGGCAGCAGTACCATCCAGCTTCGGCTCGGCATCAGAGGGAGACCGTGGAAAGAGAGGGAGAGAGAGACCGTGGGGAGACGGAGAGGGTGAGGGAGAGGGAGAGGGAGAGGGAGAGGGAGAGCTATCAGTTTTCTTTCTTGTGCATTATTTTCACAGTAATATAAATTATGGACATCAAAATATCCTCAGGGTTAAAAATGTTGGAGTCCAAGCATTCTATATTCTTGATTTGTATGGTTTCAATTATGACTCAGCATTTTAGGAAAACATTGGCTCTATAATCTGTCACCCTCACCCCATTTAAATAAAAACATACTTTTTTGGACACAAGGATCAGGCATACACATCTACACAGTGGATCACATCATTTTTGGGGGCAAAGTGAAAACTGTTTTTATACTCAAACATACTGTTGGGAAACTGTGAAATAAAAATTTCTGATGTTTGTTAAAAATTGGGAAGAAAGACATTAATACTATTGTAGTAGATTTTATGGCCATCGTAATAGGGTTCAGTTCAGAAATTGATCATAACTCTGAACACAGACAACGAAGAATTTATAGTCAATAAGCAGAATAAATCAGTGGATAAGAATTATTGAAAAACATTTGATAAAATACCAAAGGAGGAAGAGGAACTTTTTATAGCAGAAGCCTGGTTACAGGTTGGCTAAGGACTTAAATATCAAAGAAAGGGAATCACGATATTAGTAGACATAAGGGATATGTGGATTTTTACTAAACAGTATTAGCAGGATTTATGAAAGTGAGCCTCTCAAACCAGGAGCAGGGCAAGAAGTCAAGGTTGGCTTAGTCAAAAAGAGGGTTCAGTTAAGCTTGACTAACATTTGGTCATAAAGGGAGTGCTTACAAGAACCCAGATTTTTTTCCCATCTGATCTGAAAATAAATAATCACCAAAAAAGGCTTTGTTTGAAAAATGAGTGCCCACTTCACCTGAGAAAACCTCCATCTTCTTCTGTTTACCTTTGAATTTAGTGTAGAAAAAGAGCACTTGTCATTGCCACAGTTTTAATTTTGCTTTCACTCTTAAAAACAGAGAGTCAGGGCTGGGTGTGGTGGTTCATGCCTGTAATCCCAGCATTTTGGGCATGGTGATGCAAGCACACCTGTAATCCCAGCTACTTGAAAGGCTGAGGCAGGAGAATCACTTGAACCCAAGGGTCAGAGGTTGCAGTGAACCAAAATCACACCACTGCACTCAGCCTGGTGACAGAGTGAGACTCCATCAAACAAAACAAAACAAAACAAAACAAAACACAAAATTAGAAATTTAGTTTTATTCAAACAGCAACTTACAAACACAAAGGTTATAGTTTCTGACCCCTATTCAAGACAATTGGTTGTAACCATAAGTATTGATGGGACTTCAGGGAGATTCCTCAGATGGAGCTGATGCAGCTGTGCAAGCCACTTTGACCTTGCATCTTTCCTACTTCTTAGCCTTTGAAATGGACATGGTTGCTGGTGCAGGCTTGTGCTCCTACAGCCAGCCATATGGGACCATGAGACAGCCTACAGGATAAAAACCATCTACTGAAATATTGTAGCAAAGTGTGCCAAGAGGGCTGACTAGAAGTAGCTATGGTGTGTGGCTTTCATGAAAAGAAACAAAGAGGGAAAATAAATACAGCACCATCAACTGAAACACCCAGATATTTGCAGTGGGACTAATGAAGGAAACAGCTCAACCCATGGGAAAAAGAAGGGCATGGCAAACGCCCACCCGGGAGTAACACAGACCAAAGGGAACCTATCCTGCCCAAGGAAGTGGTGAGCAAATACGTGACCCTGAGAAACCACACTTCTCCCATGGATCTTTGCAACTCTCGGGTCAGGAGATTTTCTCGTAAACTTATTCCACCAGGGCCTTTGGTCTGATACACAGAGCTGCGTGTTCCCGGCAGAACAACTGCTCAGACACAAACAGAATCGCAGGAGCTTTACATACTTTGGCTCTGAGATCTCTGGCAAAGGTGACTGCAACTCAGACAAGGTGGGAGGTTGGATCTCCGTAAATGCCCCTAGAAAGGAAGCTGAATCCATGGGCCTGAGCAGCATCAGTGGGCCCCACTTCCATGACGCCTCACAGGATAAGACCTACTGGCTTGGAATTCCATCCAGCCCCCAGCAACAGCATTGCAATTACCTGGGATGGAACAACGTTCCTGGAGGCAGGGGCTGGCTGCTATATTTGCTGTTTGGATGACTCAGCCATTCCAGCCTGGAGGTTTAGGAGAGTTAAAAAAAAAAAAAACTCATGGCAGATGGAAGAAATCCCTTAGCACGGCACATTGGCCCTCCCAAAGTTTGGCCGGACTACTTCTTGAAGTGGGACCCAGATACCTTTTTCATCTCAGAGTGGGGCCTCCTACCAGAGCCTCCAGACAGCCCCTTCCATATTCTCCGGCAGGCAGAGTTTTGATTTATTCCTGGATGCAGTGCACATTGGGAGCAGTGGGTCTTCATATTTGTTGTTTGGAGAACTCAGCCATAACAATCAGTGGGCTTAGGAGAGTCCAAACCATCCCAGGGAAGAAGGAATCCCCCAGCATAGCACAGTGGATCTGCCATAATGTGATCAGATTGCTTCTTTAAGGGACCTAATATGCTCTGCATCTCTGGGTGGAACTTCCCAACCAGGGCCTCCAGCAACTCCCACTGATGTTGTCTGGCTGGCAGAGGTTTAAAAACTTCCTGGGACAGAGTTCCTAGAGAGAGGGGTTGGCCACCATCTTTGCTGTTTCAGCCTCCAGGCTTTGGAGAGCCCAATCTGATGAAGGGCAGAAATGGTACCCCGCACAGCATGGCTGATCTATGAAAGTGGGGCTAGATGGCTTAAGTGGGTCCCCAATCCTATTCCTCCTAGCTGGGTGAGACCTACCAACTGGGGTTTCCAGTCACCTCCTACAGGTGTGTTCGAGCCCTCAACATGTCTGCACCCGCCCTGGGATGGAGCTCCCAGGGAAGGGAGTGGGCTGCTATCTTTCTTGTTTCACAGCCTTCACTGGTGATACCCCCAGATACTGGAAAATCCGAGGTGACAAGAGAGTGGAGCAGATGCCCAACAAACTACAGCAGCCCCACACAAAATGGCCAAACAGTTAAAAGGAAGAGAAACAAACAAAAATCTCATTCAAAGGCCAGCAACCTCAAATATTAAAGATAGATAGGCACACAAAGGTGAGAATCACAACAAGAATACTAAAAACTCAAAAATCAGGGTGCTCTCCCTCTCCCAAATGACCACACTACTTCTCCAGCAAGAGTTCAGAATAAGGGTGAGGCTGTGATCCCTGAAATAACAGAAGTAGACCCCAGAATGTGGATAAAAATGAACTTCACTGATCTAAAGGAGCATGCTCTAACTCAATACAAGAAAGCTAAAAATTACAATATAATATTGCAGGAGCTGACAAACAAATTAGCCAGGATAGAGAGGAGACTAACCAACCCGATAGCACTGTAAAACACAATACAAAAATTTCATAATGCAATCACAAGTATTAATGAGGAAAGAAACTCAGAGCTTGAAGTTTGTATTTCTGAAAGAAGACATGCAGAGAAGAATAGAAAAAAAGAATGAAAGGAATAAACAAAACCTTTGAGAAATATGGGATTATGTAAAGAGACCAAATCTACAACTGATTGGTGTACTTGAAAGAGCTGGGGAGAATGGAACCAATCAGGAAAACATATTTCAGGATATCATCAATGAGAACTTCCCCAACCTTGCTACACTGGCCAACAATTCAGAAAATGGAGAGAAGTTCAGTAAGATACTCCAAGAAAAAATCATACCCAAGACACGTGAACGTCAGATTCCCCAAACTTGAAATGGAAGAAAAAAAAAGAAAAAAAAGCTCAGCCGCAGAGAAAAGCCAAGTCACCTACAAAAAGAAGTTGATCAGACTAAGAGCAGAGCTGTCAGTGAGAACCCTACAAGCCAAAAGAGATTGGGGGCCAATATTTAACGTTCTTAAAGAAAATAAACTTTAAGCCAGAATTTTATATCTGGCCAAACTAAGCTTAATCTGGGGAGAAATAACATCCCTTTCAGACAAGCAAATTCCGAGTTAATTCATGAACACCAGACATGCTTTTCAAGAGCTCCTGAAGGAAGCACCAATTTGGAAAGGGAAAATTATTACCAGCCACCACAAAAACACACTCAAGTACACAGACCATTGACACTATAAATCAACCACATAAACAAGTCTGAAAAATAAAAATAACCAGCTAGCATCAAGATAACAAGATAAAATCTACGCATAACAATACTTACCTTAAATGTAAATGGGATAAATGCCCCAGTTGAAACACACAGGGTGGCAATTGTATAAAAACCAAGACCCATTGGTATGCTCTTCAAGACACCCATCTCACATGCGGGGACACACATAGGCTAAAAATAAAGGGATGGAGGAAATTTCACCAAGCAAGTGGAAAACCTAAAAAAGCAAGGGTTGCAGTCTTACTTTCCAACAAAACAGACTTTAAACCAACACAGATTAAAAACAACAACAACAACAACAACAAAGAGGGTCATTACATAATGGCAAAGAATTCAATTCAACAAGAATTAACTATTCTAAATATATATGCACCCAACACAAGAGTACCCAGATTCATATAACAAGTTTCTAGATATCTTGAAAGAGACTTAGAACACCACACAATAATAGTGACCGACTTTAACATCCCACTGACAGTATTAGAAAGATTATTGAGACAGAAAATTAACAAAGGTGTTCAGGACCTGAACTTAGCTCTGGATCAAATGGACATGATATATATTTACAGAACTCTCCACATGAAAACAGCAGAATATACATTCTTCTCATCACTACATGACACTTTCTCTGAAATTGGTCACTTAGCCAGAAGTAAAACACTCTTCAGCAAATGCAAAAGAACTGAAATCATAATAAACAGTGGCTCAGATCACAGCACAATCAAATTAAAACTCACGATGAAATAATTTACTGAAAACCATAAAATTAAATGGAAATTGAATCACCTGCTCCTGAATAACTTTTGGGTAAATAATGAAATTAAGGCAGATATCAAGGAGTTCTTTGAAACCAATGAGAACAAAGACAAAACATACCAGAATCTCTGGGACACAGCTAAGGCAGTATTAAGATGAAAATTTATGGCATTAAATGCCCACATTAAAATGCCAGAAATGTCTCAAGTTACAACTTCACAACAAAAATAACTACAGGAACAAGAGCAAAGAAGTTCTAGAGCTAGCAGAAGACAAGAAATAACCAAAATCAGACCTGAAATGATGGAGATAGGGACAAGAGAAACCATTCAACAGATCAACAAATTCAGGAGCTGTTTCTTTTTCTTTGAAAAAACCAATAATATAAATACACCAGTAGTAGACTAATAAGGAAGAAAATATCAAAAATTAAAATGAACACAATCAGAAATAATAAGGGTTACCACTGACCCCACAGAAATAAAAATAACCATCAGAAAATATCATAAACACCTCTATGCCTATAAGATAACAAATTCAGTAGAAATGGATAAATTTCTGGACACATACACCCTTCAAGAATAAACCAGGAAGAAATTGAATCCCTGAAAAGACAAACAACAGGCTCTGAAATTCAGGCAGTAATAAATAGCCTACAAACCACAAAAAGATCAGAAACACAAAGATTAAAAGCTGAAGGTTATGACATTTATGAAGAAGAACTGGTACAATTCCCACTAAAATTATTTCAAAAAACTGAAACAGAGGGCTTCCTTCCCGACTCTTTCTATGAGACCACATCATCCTGGTACCAAAACCTGGCAGACACACAAGAAAAAAAACAAAACTTCAAAAAATTTGCAAGAAGAAAACAACCCCATCAAAAAGTGGGCGAAGGACATGAACAGACGCTTCTCAAAAGAAGACATTTATGCACCCAAAAAACACATGAAAAAATGCTCACCATCACTGGCCATCAGAGAAATGCAAATCAAAACCACAATGAGATACCATCTCACACCAGTTAGAATGGCAATCATTAAAAAGTCAGGAAACAACAGGTGCTGGAGGAGATGTGGAGAAATAGGAACACTTTTACACTGTTGGTGGGACTGTAAACTAGTTCAACCATTGTGGAAGTCAGTGTGGCAATTCGTCAGGGATCTAGAACTAGAAATACCATTTGACCCAGCCATCCCATTTCTGGGTATATACACAAAGGACTATAAATCATGCTGCTTTAAAGACACATGCACACGTTTGTTTATTGCGGCACTATTCACAATAGCAAAGACTTGGAACCAACCCAAATGTCCAACAATGATAGACTGGATTAAGAAAATGTGGCACATATACACCATGGAATACTATGCAGCCATAAAAAATGATGAGTTCATGTCCTTTGTAGGGACACGGATTAAATTGGAAATCATCATTCTCAGTAAACTATCACAAGAACAAAAAAACCAAACACCGCATGTTCTCACTCATAGGTGGGAATTGAACAATGAGATCACATGGACACAGGAAGGGGAACATCACACTCTGGGGACTGTTGTGATGAGGGGGGAGGGGAGAAGGATAGCATTGGGAGATATACCTAATGCTAAATGACGAGTTAATGGGTGCAGCACACAAGCATGGTGCATGCGTACATATGTAACTAACCTGCACATTGTGCACATGTACCCTAAAACTTAAAGTATAATAATAATAATAAAATAAAAAAAGAAAAAAAAAAACTTCATGCCAATATTTTTGATGAACATTTATGCAAACATTCTTAACAAAATAGGGGCAAACCAAATCCAGCAGCGCATCAGAAAGCTTATCCACCACAATCAAGTAGGCTCCATCTGTGGGATGCAACTTTAATTCAACGTACACAAATCAATATGTGATTTATCACATAAACAGAACTAAAGACAAAAGCCACATGATTGTCTGAATAGATGCAGATAAATCTTTGCATCCATAAAATTCAACATCCATTCTTGTAAAAACTCTCAATAAACTAGGTATTGAAAAAAACATACTTCAATATAATAAGAACCATGTATGACAAACCCACAGCCAATATCATACTGAAAGGGCAAAAGCTGAAAGCATTCCCTTTTAAAACGGGCACAAGACAAGGATGCCCTCTCTCATGACTCCTATTTCAGATAGTATTGGAAGTACTGGGCAGAGCAATCAGGTAAGAGAAAAAGGCATTCAAATTGAAAGAAAAGAAATTAAACAACACCTGATGTCAGAAGACATGATTCTATATCTTGAAAACCCCTATTGTCTCAACCCCAAAGCTTCTTAAGCTGATAAATATCTTTAACAAAGTCCCAAGATACAAAATAAATGGGCAAAAATCACTAGCACTAAATCCTTATATACCAACAACAGTCAAGCCAAGAGCAAAATCGTGAATGAACACTCATTCACAGTTACCACAAAAAGAATAAAATACCAAGGAATGTATCTAACAAGAGAAGTGAAAGGCCACTACAAGGAGAACTATAAACCACTTCTCAAAGAAATCAGACATGACATAAACAAATAGAAAAACATTTCATGCTTATGGATAGAAAGAGTTAATATTGTTAAAGTAGACACACTCCACAAAGAAATTTATAGAGTTAATAGTATTTCCGTTAAACTACCAATGACATTTTTCACAAAACTAGAAAAGCTATTTTAAAATTTATATGGAACCAACAAAGGCCTGAATAGTCAAGACAACCCCAAACAAAAAGAACTAAGCTGGAGGCATCACACTACCCAACTTCAAACTGTGCTACAGGGCTACAGAAACCAAAACAGCATGGTACTGGTACAAGAACAGACACACAGACCAATGAAACAGAATAGAGGACCCAGAAATAAGACTGCACACCTACAACTAACTGATCTTCGACAAACCTGACAAAAACAAGCAATGAAAAAACGACTCTGTACTCAATAAATGGTGCTGGGATAACTGCCTAGCCATGTGCAAAAAATTGAAACTGAACCCCTTCCTCCATCATCCTCTGCAACTAACACAGGAACAGAAAACTAACCACCGCATATTCTCACTCATAAGTGGGAGTTGAACAATAAGAACACATGGACACTGGAAGGGAAACAACACAACTGGGGCTAGTCAGGGAATGGGAGTCGAAGGGAGGGAGAGCATTAGGATAACTAGCTAATGCATGTGGGACTTGAAGCCTGGATAACGGGCTGATAGGTGCAGTAAACCACCATGGCACACATATACCAATGTAACAAACCTACACATTCTGCACTTGTACTTCAGAACCCAATTTAAATTTAAAAAATAAAGAAAGATTCCTTACATCATATACAACAATAAACTCAACATGGTTTAAATGTAAAACCCAAGACTATAAAAACTTTGGAAGACAACCTAGGCAATACCATTCAGGACATAGGCATGGGCAAATATTTTATGATGAAGGCGCAAAAGCAATTAGAACAAAGAGAACATTGACAAATGGGATCTAATTAAACTAAAGAGCTTTTGCACAGCAAAAGAAACTATCAACAGAGTAAACAGACAATGTATAGAATGGGAGAAAATTTTTGCAAACTGTGCATCTGACAATAATCTAATTTCTAGCATCCATAAGGAACATAAATTTACACGAGAAAAACAAACAACCTTATTAAAAATTGGCCAAAGGACACACAGAAACACTTCTTGAAAGAAGACATACATGCAGCCAATAAGCGTATGAAACAGAAGTTCAACATCACTGACCGTTAGAGAAATGTAAATCCAAACCACAATGAGATATCATTTTATACCAGGTATAATGGTTACCATGAAAAAATCAAAAAATCACAGATGCTGACAAAGTTGTGGAGAAAAAGCAACATTTTTACCCTGTTGGTCGAGTTCAAACGTTGTGGAAGACAGTGTGGTGATTCTTCAAAGACCTAAAGAAAAGAATACCATTTGACCTAGCAATCTCATTACTGGGTATATACCCAAACAAATATAAGTCATTCTATTATAAAGATACCTGCACGCACAAGTTCATCACAGCCCTATTCACAATAGCAAAGACATCAAATCAGCCTACATGTTCATCAATAATAGACTGGTTGAAGAAAACGTAGTTCATATACAACATGGAGTACTATGCAGCCATAAAAAAGCACAAGATTATGTCCTTTGTAGGGACATGGATGGAGCTGGAGGCCATTATCCTTAAAAAACTAACAGAAACAGAAAACCAAATACCACATTTTCTCACTTATAAGTGGAGGGTAGATGATGAGAACACACAGAAACATGGAGGGGAGCAACACGCACCAGGGCCTATCAGGAGGTAGGGGGTGAGAGGAGGGAGAGAATCAGAAAAAATAACTAATAGTTAGTAGACTTAATACCTGGGTGATAAAACAATCTGCACAACCAAACTTCGGGACGTATGTTTCCATATTTAAAGAACCTGCACATCCTGCCCATATACCCCTGAACTTAAAACAAAGTTCAAAAAAGAAAAACATTTTAGCAAAATGACAGACTATTTTTGACTACCTTCGTGTACAGTTCAGAGTCAGACTGCCCAGCTCTAACATCCTTATTTATGAGAAAGAAAGCATTCTCTCTCTTATCTGCACTATTATATTGGGTTTTCTTTTTTAATTTTTTTGAGACGGAGTTTCACTCTTATTGCCCAGACTGGAGTGCAATGGCGCGATCTCGGTTCACCACAATCTCTACCTCCCGGGTTCAAGCGATTCTCCTACCTCAGCCTCTCAAGAAGCAGGGATTACAGGCATGCACCACTACGCCTGGAAAATTTTGTATTTTTGGTAGAGACTGGGTTTCTCTATGTTGGTCAGGCTGGTCTTAAACTCCAGACCTCTGGTGATCCGTCTGCCTCAACCTCCCAATGTGTTGGGATAACAGGCGTGAACTACAGCACCCGGTCTGGGTTTTCTTCTATATGTAGGAAAATGTAATCCTAACTAAAGTGCTAGCTTTGCCATGGAATCTCTGTGTAATTCTGGATGTTATGTCACTTTCCTAAGACTTTTTTCTATCTGCGTAGTGGTGGAGGCAGTAGTGGGGAAGATTTAATTATACAAAGGGTCCATCAATCCATGTGTTAAGTGAGGATGTCACTACTTTCCAGACTCAGAGGACAGGGGACATATTGTTATGCTCCATGGGAAGCTGTTGGGGGGTGGAGGTGGGGCTCACTTGCACACATTGTCTGTGGGCCTTGAAAGATCAAGTGTGTATGACCCTTCTTGAACAGAAGGTCCATGTGCCCAGTGCAGAACCCATCTATTTCTTCCCAAGTGAGGAAGATCTGGGAACACCCTGATCACAGCCTTGCTACACCAATCCTAGTTGGTAGGGACGTTAGACCATATGCATGTTGAGCTGTGGCTTAAGCATTTTGACATCTCACATCTCATTGGATATCTGAAAAACTGAGGTCTGGAGAGAAGCAGGGACTGGCCCAGAGATGATGAAGTGGGCAGAGTCCAAGGGAAAAAAGAGCATTCTGACCTCCTAGGCCAGGGCTCAACACTCTCATGGGGTTTGTTTTGGGAATGAGTCCCTGAGATCCTGGGGATTTTTGCCAATTTTCTCGTCATATGAAGCAAACTCATGTCTGCATCATTAGACTTCCACAGGTTTGTGCATACACACACAGACTTCTCAGGCTAAAGGTCATAAGAGGAGTTAACGCTGATGGAGTGATGAGAAGAAAAAAGATAGAGGATAGGGGCAGCTTTGTCATGGGGTAGAAGCACCCCATCTTCTGGTAACATGCCCAGGACCCATAACATGGGCAGGGGAAGGCAATAGGCTGATGGCTTGAGAGGCTCAAGGCTTCCATGGATCTGACTGGGCTGCAGCCAACACCAGGATAGCTTTCCAAGGACAAAACCTTACTTTCTCCATTCATTAATCTGCATAATTAAAATGGTAAGGAATCCCCCTACACCCAATATGGAGAGGAATACAGTAGTGAAAACCTTCAATTTTTCCCTGTAAAAATTGACATAATTGAACTGTGTGACCCTTAAATTTGAAAGGCTTAAAGAAGTGAGTTGACCTTGCTGTCTATCAATTACCACTGTACTCTCAGAACTTTGGAAATTGCTCTGTGTCCTCCGAAGGTCTTTCAGAGCAGAAAGTGGCCTAGGGGTGTGCGGGACTGAGCACTCAGGCTGGTGTAGAATGTGACAGATCCTCAGACCACTGCTCTGGGATCCAAGGAGAAGACCTTCTCGGTCAGAGCTTTGGGGATCTTTTTTTTGGAGGGGGCGATCTTTTTTGAAAGTGGAGACAGAATCGTTTTCCAGGGCTCCCTCATTTGCCCTCCTGTTTCATAGTATTTCTTTTTTCTGTCTTTCTTTCTTTCTTTCTTTCTTTCTTTCTTTCTTTCTTTCTTCTTTCTTTCTTTCTTCTTTCTTTTTCTTTCTTTCTTCTTTCTTTCTTTCCTTCTTTTTCTTTCTCTTTCTTTCTTTCTCCTTCCTTTCTTTTCTTTCTTCCTTTCTTTCTTCTTTCTCTTTCTTTTGTTCTTCCTTCATTCCTTCCTTCCGTTTCTTTCTTTCTTCTTTCTTTCTTTCCTCTTCCTTCATTCCTTCCTTTCTTTTCTTTCTTTCTTTCTTTCTTTCTTTCTCTTTCTTTCTCCTTCCTTCCTCCCTCCCTTTCTTTTCTTTCTTTCCTTATTTTCTTTTTTCTTTCTTCTTTCTTTCTTTCTTTCTTCTTTCTTTCTTTCTTTCTTTCTTTCTTTCTTTATCAGAGTCTCTCTCTTCTCGCTCTTTCACGGGACTGGAGTGGAGTGGCATGATCTCGGCTCACTGCAACCTCCACCTCCCGGGTTCAAGTGATTCACTGCAACCTCCACCTCCCAGGTTCAAGTGATTCTCCTGCCTCAGCCTCCTGAGTAGCTGGGACTATAAGGGCGTGCCACCAAGCCTGGCTAATTTTTGTATTATTAGTAGAGACGGGGTTTCGCCATGTTGTCCAGGATGGTCTCGATCTCTTCACCTCGTGATCTGCTTGCATCAGCCTCTGAAAAAAACTGAGATTATAGGTGTGAGCCACCACACAAAGCCTACAGTTTATTTTTCTTTGCTTGTTAAAATGTTTTAGTCAGCTAAAATTTAGACAATATAGAGTTCTACATACTATCTAATATAAAGTGTAAAATTCAGTGCTTTTCAGTTTATTTACAATGCTATGCAACTGTCACCCCTATCAAATTCCAAAATAGTTTCATCACCCTTTCACAAAAAAAACTCCATATCCATTAAGCAGTAATTTATCATTCATCCACCGAATTTCCTTGGTAACCACTGATTGACTTTCTATCTCTAGTACTCTCTTTCTTTCTTTCCTTTTTTTTTTTTTTTTTTTTTGGTGTCTCACTCTGTCACCCATGCTAGAGTGCAGTGGCACGATCTCGGCTCGCTGCAAGCTCCACCTCCCTGGTTCACGCCATTCTCCTGCCTCAGCCTCCAGGGTAGCTGGGACTACAGATGCCTGTCAGCACGCCCAGCTATTTTTCTTTGTATTTTTAGTAGAGACGGGGTTTCACCATGTTAGCCAGCATGGTCTCGATCTCCTGACGTCGTGATCTGCCTGCTTCGGCCACCCAAAGTGCTGGGATTACAGGCGTGAGCCATCACACCCGGCTTCTATTTCTAGTTTTCTATTCTAGTCACTTTATAGAAATATAATAATATAATATGTGACCTTTTTTCTTTGGCTTTTCTCTTTGAGCGTGTTTTCATTATTTATCCATGTTGTGGCACATATCAGTTCTGTATTTATTTTTATGGCTAGCTAATACTCCATTGTATAAATAATATTCTATTGGCCAGGGACGATGGCTCACACCTATAAACTCAGTATTTTGGGAGGCTGAGGCTGGTGGATCACCTGAGGTCAGGAGTTCTAGACCAGCCTGGCTGACATGGTGAAACACTGTGTCTACTAAAAATACAAAAATTAGCCGGGCGTGGTTCCTGAAAGCCCAATTGCTCAGGAGGCTGAGGCCAGGGAATCTCTTGAACCCAGGAGGTGGAGGTTACAGTGAGCTGAGATCGTGCCACTGCACTCCAGCATGGGTGACAGAGCAAGACTGTCTCAAAAAAAAAGAAAGAAAATGAGAGGAAATATGTGCAAACTACACAGCTGACAAGCGATTGATAAGCAGAATACAGAATAAACAAAAAACTAAATAAAAAATTAGTTTAACTTTAAAATGGGCAATAATCTTCAGAAACATTTCTGGAAAATATAAGGGGCATAAACATAGAACCTAAAAGTTAGAGAAGAATTATGAAAAAACTGAAGGATATAGAAAAAATAATTTCAGACTATTCACATTAAAATTTAATTAGAGAGGGGGTGGAGCCAAGATGGGCGAATAGGAAAAGCCTTAGTCTAGAACTCCCAGCATCGGCAATGCAGAACACAGGTGATTTCTGCATTTCCAACTGAGGTACCGGGCTCATCTCACTGGGGAGTGTCAGAAAGTGGGTGCAGGACAGTGGGTGCAGCGCACCCCATGTGAGCCAAAGCATGGTGAGGCATCGCCTCACCCAGGAAGTGCAAGGGGTCAGGGAATACCCTTTCCTAGTCAAAGAAAGGGGTGACAGATTGCACCTGGAAAATCGGGTGACTCCCACCCTAACACTGTACTGTTCCAAAGGTCTTAGCAAACGGCATACCAGGAGATTATATCCTGCACCTGGCTCAGAGGGTCCTACGCCCACAGAGCCACAATCATTGCTAGCACAGCAGTCTGAGATCAAACTGCAAGGCAACAACAAGCCTGGGGGAGGGGCGCCCACCATTGCCGTGGCTTGAGTAGGTAAACAAAGCAGCCAGGAAGCTCCAACTGGGTGGAGCCAACTGCATCTCAAGGAGGCCTGCCTGACTCTGTAGACTCCACCTCTGGGGGCAGGGAATAGCCAAACAAATGGCAGCAGAATCCTCTGCAGACTTAAATGTCCCTGTCTGACAGCTTTGAAGAGAGTAGTGGTTATCCCAGCATGCAGCTGGAGATCTGAGAACAGACAGACTGCCTCCTCAAGTGGGTCCCTGACCCCCGAGTAGCCTATCTGGGAAGCATCCCCAGTAGGGGCAGACTGACACCTCACACGGCCGGGTACTCCTCTGAGACAAAATTTCCAGAGGAACAATCAGGCAGCAATATTTGCTTTTCACCAATATCCGCTGTTCTGCAGCCTCCACTGCTGATACCCAGGCAAACAGGGTCTGGAGTGGACCTCCAGCAAACTCCAACAGACCTGCAGCTGAGGGTTCTGACTGTTAGAAGGAAAACTAACAAACAGAAAGTACATCCACAACAAAATCCCATCTGTACATCACAATCATCAAAGACCAAAGGAGAGAAAACTACAAAGATGGGGAAAAAACAGAGCAGAAAAACGGAAAATTCTAAAAATCAGAGTATCTCTCCACCTCCAAAGGAACACAGCTCCTCACCAGCAATGGAACAAAGCTGGACAGAGAATGACTTTGACGAGTTGAGAGAAGAAGGCTTCAGACGATCAAACTACTCCGAGCTAAAGGAGGAAGTTCAAACCCATGGCAAAGAAGTGAAAAACCTTTAAAAAAATTAGATGAATAGCTAACTAGAATAACCAATGCAGAGAAGTTCGTAAAGGACCTGATGGAGCTGAAAACCAATGTACGAGAAGTACGTGATGAATGCACAAGCCTCAGTAGCCAATTCAATGAACTGGAAGAAAGGGTGTCAGTGATGGAAGATCAAATGAATGAAATGAAGTGAGAAAAGAAGTTTAGAGAGAAAAAGATAAAAAGAAATGAACAAAACCTCCAAGAAATATGGGACTGTGTGAAAAGACCAAATCTACATCTGATTGGTGTACCTGAAAGTTATGAGGAGAATGGAAGCAAGTTGGAAAACACTCTGAAGGATATTATCCATGAGAACTTCCCCAATCTAGCAAGGGAGGGTGACATTCAAATTCAGGAAATACAGAGAACACCAAAAAGATAATCCTCAAGAAGAGCAACTCCAAGACACATAATTGTCAGATTCACCAAAGTTGAAATGAAGGAAAAAATGTTAAGGGCAGCCAGAGAGAAAGGTCGGGTTACCCACAAAGGGAAGCCCATCAGACTAACAGCTGATCTCTCGGCAGAAACTCTACAAGCCAGAAGAGTGGGGGACAATATTCAACATTCTTAAAGAAAAGAATTTTCAATCCAGAATTTCATATTCATTCAAACTAAGCTTCATAAGTGAAGGAGAAATAAAATCCTTTACATACAAGCAAACGATGAGAGATTTTGTCACCACCAGGCCTGCCCTAAAAGAGCTCCTGAAGGAAGCACTAAACATGGAAAGGAACAACCGGTACCAGCCACTGCAAAAACATGCCAAGTTGTAAAGACCATCGAGGCTAGGAAGAAACTGCATCAACTAATGAGCAAAATAACCAGCTAACATCATAATGACAGGATCAAATGCACACAAAACAATATTAACCTTAAAAGTAAATGGACTAAATTCTCCCATTAAAAGACACAGACTGGCAAATTGGATAAAGAGTCAAGACCCATCAGTGTTCTGTATTCAGGAAACGCATCTCACGTGCAGAGACACACATAGGCTCAAAATAAAGGGATGGAGGAAGATCTACCAAGCAAATGGAAAACAGAAAAAGGCAGGGGTTACAATCCTAGTGTCTGATAAAACAGACTTTAAAACAATAAAGATCAAAAGAGACAAAGAAGTCCATTACGTAATGATAAAGGGATCAATGCAATAAGAAGAGCTAATTATCCTGAATATATATGCACCCAATATAGGAGCACACAGATTCATAAAGCAAGTCCTTAGAGACCTAGAAAGAGACTTAGACTCCCACACAATAGTAATGGGAGATTTTAACACCCACTGTCAACATTAGACATATCAATGAGACAGATAGTTAACAAGGATATCCAGGAATTGAACTCAGCTCTGCACCAAGCAGACCTAATAGACATCTACAGAACTCTCCACCCCAAATCAACAGAATATACATTCTTCTCAGCACCGCACCGCACTTATTCCAAAATTGACCACATAGTTGGAAGTAAAGCACTCCTCAGCAAATTGTAAAAGAACAGAAATTATAAAAACCTCTCTCTCAGACCACACTGCAATAAAACTAGAACTCAGGATTAAGAAACTCACTCAAAACCGCTCAACTACATGGAAACCAAACAACCTGCTCCCGAATGACTACTGGGTACATAACGAAACGAAGGCAGAAATAAAGATGTTCTTTGAAAGCAACGAGAACAAAGACACAACATACCAGAATCTATGGGACACATTCAAAGCAGCGTGTAGAGGGAAATTTATAGCACTAAAGGCCCACAAGAGAAAGCAGAGAAGATCTAAAATTGACACCCTAACATCACAATTAAAAGAACTAGAGAAGCAAGAGCAAACACATTCAAAAGCTAGCAGAAGGCAAGAAATAACTAAGATCAGAGCAGAATTGAAAGAAATAGACACATAAAAAACCCTTCAAAAAATCAGTGAATTCAGGAGCTGGTTTTTGAAACGATCAACAAAATTGATAGACTGCTAGCAAGACTAGTAAAGAAGAAAAGAGAGAAGAATCAAATAGACGCAATAAAAACTGATCATTTATGTGGCTCAAGTTCTCTAATATAACATAGTACGGTCAAAATGGAAGGGTAAAAATTGCAAGACCACCTTAACGTTTGTCATCTTAAGTGTACTATAAAAATGCCTTTTAAATTAATTCAGTGAATAGGTTTTTAAGTGCATGTTTTAGATTATGCTGAACTGTCAAATACCAGCACATCCCTAATTTGCAGTAGATTAACAACACTTTTTAGCACACATCACAGAGTTGTTCGGTGGCCAAATTGAAAAGGCACCTCCTCTCCATGTGGTCATTCAGAAACTCAAAGTTCTTTCATTATTTGTCTTCATCATCCATGAGTCGTGGTTGCCGTTTGTGTTCAGTCCCCTGAAAATAAAGTACTTTAAGAAATGCATGCGAGAAGACTTGATGGACTCATCTTAATGTGACTCACATCCATCTCACTCTACAACCATTAACAATAACTGGTCACGTTTCCACATCTAATGCAAATGAGGCTAAGAAATGTAATTCTGCTGTGTCCCTAATAAATGGGAGAATAGAATTTGTTGAATGACCAGAGTTTTCCGTAACATTGTGTCACTCATATGGATTTACTGTGTTTCTCAAATATTTATTAAACATCTGTCATAGCCAAGCACTGTGATAAGGAGTACAGGGAGGACAGAGAGCTGACTCAGCAGAGTCCTAGTCTGAAAGAAACTCACAATCTAAGAAAATAAGAAAAGTCATGTTAGGTGCTGCTATAAAGGCACATGCACACGTATGTTTATTGTGGCACTACTCACAATGCAAATACTTGGAACCAACCGAAATGTCCAACAATGATAGACTGGATCAAGCAAATGTGGCCCATATACACCATGGAATACTATGCAGCCATAAAAAATGATGAGTTCATGTCCTTTGTGTGTACATGAATGAAGCTGGAAAAGATAATTCTCAGCAAACTATCACAAGGACAAAAAAAAACAAACACCACATGTTCTCGCTTATAGGTGGGAATTGAACAATGAGAACACTTGGACACAGGAAGGGTAACATTACCCACTGGGGAATGTTGTTGGGGGGGGAGGGGGGAGGGATAGCATTTGGAGATATACCTAATGTAAATGACGAGTTAATGGGTGCAGCTCACCAACATGGCACATGTATACATAAGTAACAAACCTGCACGTTGTGCACATGTACCCTAGAACTTAAAGTATAATAAATATATGTATAACATACGTATATATTATATACATGTTCAAGGGATTCTCCTGCCTCAGCCTCCCAAGTAGCTGGGATTACAAGCGCTGCCATTACTCCCAGCTATTTTTTGTATTTTTAGTAGAGAAGGAGTTTTGCCATGTTGGCCAGGACGGTCTGGATCTCCTGACCTCATGATCCACACCCCTTGGCCTCCCAGAGTGCTGGGATTACAGGTGTGAGCCACAGCCCCCGGCCTATATGAGTTTTCAAATAGTTTTTTCTAGCTCCGTAAAAAATTTCATTGGCAGTTTGATGGAAATAGTATTAAATCTGTAAATTTCTTTGTGAAGTATAGCCATTTTAGTGATATTGGATCTTCCTATCCGTGAGCATGGGATGGTTTTCCATTTGTTTGTATCTTCTCTGATTTCTTTGAGCAGTGTTTTGTAAATCTCATTGTAGAGCTCTTTCACCTCCCTGGTGAGCTGCATTTCCAGATATTTTATTATTTTAGTGGCAATTGTGAATGGGATGGCCTTTCTGATTTTGCTGTCAGTGTGGCTATCGTTGGTGTAGAAAAATGTTAGTGATCTTTGCACATTGATTTAGTATCTTGAAACTTTGCTGAAGCTGTTTGTTAACTAAAGAAGCTTTGTAGATGAAACTACAGGGTTTTCTAGATAGAGAATTATGTTATCTGCAAACAGAAATAGTTTGGCTTTCTCTCTTCCTATTTGGATGTTCTTCGGATTTCTTTCTCTAGCCTGATTGCTCTGGTCAGTACTGTCAATACTAAGTTGAATAGAAATGGCAAGAGAGGGCATTCTTGCCTTCTACTGGTTTTAAAAAATAATGTTCCCGGCTTTTGCCCATTCAACACATTGTTGGCTGTGGGTTTCTTATAGACGGCTTTTATTATTTTCTGCGTCTATTGAGATAATCATCTTTTTTTTGTTTTTAGTTCTGTTTATGTAATGTATTACATTTATTGATTTGCACATGATGGACCAACCTTGCGTCCTAAGGAGGAAGCCTACTTGATCATGACGGATTACCTGTTTGATGTGCTGCTGGATTTGCCTCCCAAATATTTTGTTGAGAACTTTTGTATTGATGTTCGTCAAGAATATTGGCCTGAAGTTTTCTTTCCCTTCTTTCTTTTTTTTTTTTTTTTTTGACGGTGTCTCCCTCTGTTGCCCAGGCTGGAGTGGATTGCACTGGCGCGATCTCTGCTTAATGCAATCTCTGCCTCCTGAGTTCACGCCATTCTCCTGCTTCAGCCTCCCAAGTAGCTGGGACTACAGGTGTCTGCTACCAAGCCCGGCTAATTTTTTGTGTTTTTGTTGTGTCTCTGCCTGTTTTGGTGTCAAGATCATGCTGTCCTCATAGAATGAGTTGGGGAGAAGACCCTCCTTCTCAATTTTTGGGTATAGTTTCTGTAGGAATTGTACCAGCTCTTCTTTGTACATTTGGTAGAATTTGGCTGTAAGTCCATAAAGTCCAGAGCTTTTTTTTTTGATTGGCAAGCTACTTATTACCTATTTAATATCAGAGTTTTTTACTGGTCTGTTCAGGAAATCATTGTCTTCCTGGCTTAATCTTGAGAGAGTGTGTATATCTAGGAATCTATTTATTTCGTTAAAGTTTTCTAGTTTGTGTGTATAAAGTTGTTCATGTTAGTGCTGTCCCCAGTTAAATAAAAACAACTATTAGAAACCACTAAAGTTTAACACTTGTTTTTATATCTTTAATCAATTTTTATTTAATTTTTCTACTTGGAATGTGATAAAGATTCAACTTTACTGGTTTAAATGTGGACTTGTTTTCCCAGCATTTCTTGTGTAACAAACTGTCTTTACATAATGATTAAGACACACTTTTAAAAAGACAAACAATAATTTATGAAAGGGTTTTTTGGAGTATCTATTTTATTTATTTGATCTCCACAATTGTTCTTATGCCACTATCAAACTGTTATAATTTTAGTAGCTTTTTATGTTTTCAAATTTAAAATTGTGAGCCACCTAATTTTGTCCTTCTTTTCAAGATTATTCTGTACATTCAGAGGATGTTCAAATTCCATATGAAGTTTTAAATGAGCTATTTTCTTTTTGCAGAAGAAAAGTTGGAAAAATGAAAACTTGGGATTACAGTACATCTGTACACTCCTTTGGGCAGTGGTATTGTCATCTTAACTTCATTAAATCTTCCGGTTCAGGAACATGGAATTTGTTGCCAGTTATTTAAGTCCTTTTTAGTTTTTTTCATAAACATTCTGATCCTGTATTTTTTATTGTACAAGATATTTACCTCCTTATTAAATTTATTGCTAAGAATTATATTATTTTAATGTTGTTGCGAACAATTGTTTTCTTAATTTACTGTCAAATTGTTAATTGTATATGGAAATGCAGTTTATGTTTCTGTGTTGTAAAAATAATTATTTCATGTCTCAAATCTAGATTAGCAATTCATTCAGAATAAATATGCTGTATATATTACTAGTCATTTAACTTTTTCCAATAAGCTAACCAATTTCAATATGTCTAAATATGTAAAAATGTTAAATTGTGTTAGATTTTTCACTTACTCTCACCTGTCATTTATCTGTCAGAATTACATTACTGCGCACTAGAACTTTCATTTCTGGGGCCGGGCACGGAGGCTCATGCCTATATTCCTAGCACTTTGTGAGGCCAAGGCAGGCGGACCACCTGAGATCAGGAGTTCGAGACCTGTCTGGCCAATATGGTAAAACCCCGCCTCTACTAAAAATACAAAAATAAGCTGAGCGTGGTCTTGGGAGACTGTATTCCCAGCTACTTTGGAGGCTGACACTGGAGAATCACTTGAACAATCCCACGACACAAAACAACCGAGGTTAGTCTTCATGTCGAAAGTCTTCAATGGATTGTCTTTTATCACAGGATTGCTTAGTGCAACATTTAATGGGAAAGATGCATGCTACTGAGATGTAGTTCTCCACAAGTCTCTTAGAGTTTGTTGTTTTGTTGTGGATTACATCACATACCTGTCCTGTTCCACGTTATTTTTCAAAGATTTTTGTACACAAATAACCTGGAAAAAGGGTAGTAGTTTTTCTCTTCAGGTGAATGGCAGATAAATTACTCAATCAATATAATAAAGACAATTTTTCTTTGTGACGCAAAGGTTGGACAGGCTTCCATGTAACCTACTTTAAAAAGATTGAGGTTTCTTAGTCTTGAGTCTGCTCAGCTATGACACAAATCTTCCCCATGTACAATGTCCATATGAGCCTTTTGAAATCCTTCAAAAAACGTAGTATGGACAAGGAGAACTAATACAAATATGAGGCTTTTGCCTCCAGGTAAGCAGTAAATAGTAGGTATTTTTTTTCATACTTCAGTGTCTCATGCCTTCTACCAGCATCGATGAAAATGGAAGGTTAATATGTTGTTTACAAATGCTATAAAATCTTAGATACGTCACAATTATTTAATTTTGGAGATGACTATGGCATGCTGAGATAAACACAACTTTCTGAAAGGGGAAAAGGAACAAATACTTGAAGAGCTTGCAAGGGATATGAGAAGTTCCCCCAGGACCAACAGCAAATTCTCTCGGCCAAGTGGTTAGTTTGGTGAAGCAAGAGATCAAGACTCTGCTGTCTGCTAATGAGACTGATCCTTGAGAGGATTATAACAATGAACCTGAGAGCTTTGCATGTTCACTTTTCTCCTGCTGGAAAATCAAGGAGCTCTTAAAGCTAATGTTGAGGTTTGGATGAGTCCAAAACAGTAGAAGTTCATGTGGTTCAGCTGTGAGCAGCAAAAAGACTGCAAAAAGCCACATTAAGCAGGTTTTGTAAGTCTCTCCTTTACCCACATGAAGGAACCCATTCCCTCTGCACTTCTAATTTTTGTCCTTTGTCTACAGCTAACTTCAGCAACTTTAAATATTAAACTACATACGATTGGAGGTTTGGATGGGGGAACACAAATGTATGTAGTTCCTTTGGATATATGTATCTAATTCACCATTCTGTGGAGTCCCTTAGGGTGCACAGGGAGATATAGGTGTTAGGGTGGCTGGAAATGCTGACAAACCTATCATTCTATTAATCCAGTTGCTTCCAGATAATGGAAAGCATGGTAAGTCCACTGACATCCGTGAAGATGAGCACACTGCTACACTTTGGCTGTGAAGTGAGTTTCTTGGTCTGAGCAATGCTAAGTGGAATATCATAGGGATGGATGAGGGATTCTGTGAGTCCATGGAGGGTAGTTTTGGCAGAATTCCACCCAGGGAAAGCAAATTTGTATCCATAGTAAGAGCCTACTCCAGTGAGTACAAACTGTTGCCGCCTATATTATAAAAGTTATTCAACGTAATAAATTTACTACCAGGTGCCTGGTGGATCACCCTGGAAATGATGTCATATCAAAGACTCAGTGTAGATCTGTGCTGCTGTCAAATTAAACATTCAGAATTGACTGTAGCCAGACTGGCCTTTGGGATTCAAAGTTCATATTGCTTAGCCCGTGCATTGCTTCTATTTCTGCTACTATGTTCACCTTGTTTATAAGCCCATTGGGTGATGATGGGGGTGACAGGGAAGTAAGAATGACCCATACTCACGGAACAAGACATTCTGTCCACATCATTATCAAAATCATGCTCTGATACGGTTACCCCTTAGTAGGGATTCATATAGAACAGACATATCTTTATGTAATTTACCCAGTGAGAGAAGTTTATCCACAAAAGTTTTTCTATTTTTTTTTTTTGCCAGGAATTTTGTAATCATGTTCCTTCCGTGTCATTGGTCATGTAGCCAATTCATGGGCCACAGCAGTGTTGCAGGAGTGAGTATCATAGGATCTCAAACTCCTGTTCTTAAGCAATCCTTGCCTCAACCTCTTAAGTAGCTGAGACTATAGGTGCACCCCACAACGCCTAACTAATTTTGTTTTATTTTTAGTAGAGATTAGATTTTGCTATGTTTTCCAGGCTGTTCTCACACTCCCCACCTCAAGCGATTCTCCCAGCTTTGCCTGCAAAGTGCTTTGACTAGAGTCAAACCTCCACACCCAGCACCTATAATTTGATATTTTAAACAATACTATGTAGCGAAAGCAATTACGAAGTTATCTAGGGAAAGAAAGCTCACTATCACAGTGTAAAATTGTATAGATATGATGCGGGCATGTGTGTATACATGCTTGCTTGTGTGCATAGGTGCGTGTTTTCTGAGAAATGGTACCTTATTGCTACCAGGCTAGGATAGCATTCATGTTCTTCTGAAGATGTCAAATATTGAAGCTCCAGGATTCATAGAACAAGATTCCTAAGTGGTTCACGAGAGGGTGAACGATTGAGTAATGGGTATTTTGGAAGAAACAACTGGCCTAGGGACAAGAATAAGTGTGCAAATCATCTGTGTGAAACACGCTTTCTTCGGAGCACGCATTTCATGCACTTCATTCTACTGTGACAGATATTGCTACTCTGAGTTTGGGAGAGATTGAACCTAGGGTCTACTGTGAAACTCTGTAGACTAGACTTCTGTCTGAGGCAGCCCCTGCCTGTAACCGTAACCTGCGCCAAACTCCAATGGAGCATTCTTCTCAATGGATAAATGGAAATTCCGGATGATCCGATGGGCAGAGAGTGCGACTGTTTTTTTCAGGAGCTCTGGTTGAATGGTTTTGGGGACTTTCTGGGAGGATGCTCTGCACCCAGAAAAGTAGTCCAACGGGAATCATGAGAAAATGGGCGACTCCGTGTGCCTCCGTCCCCTCCTACTTCCTCACCCACCCCTCCATCAGGGATCCCACGTATTCCAGGATGACACGTGTTTTAGTTGTCTTTGGGCGACAACTAGCGGCAACCGTTATTGAAAATGTAAGCTGTAGAGAACAAAAAAACTCTGGTCGCCTGTTCACAGCTCACTCACTGCAACGTTGAATCCTGGGCTTAAGCAATCCTCCTGCCTCAGCTTCCTGAGTAGCTGGAAATATAGGCATGTGCCACAATGCTGGGCAATATTTTTAAGTAGTGGTAATCTCTCTCGATGTGTTGCCCAGGTTAGTCTCAAACTCCTGTCCTCTATCCAGCCTCCCACCTTGGTCTTCAGAAGTCCTGGGATTACAGGCTTGAGCCACTGTGCTCACTCCTATAATTTGATGTTTTCAACAATACTATGTAGTGAAATGCATCACGAAGACATTTTGCAAAAGAAAGCTCACTATCACATATAAAGTTGTATACTTGTCATGTGCTTACGTGAGCGCATGTTCTTGCCTGTCTGAATGTTTTCTGAGAACTGATCATCTTTTCCCCAGGGACACTGGTTGAAGAGCTGCGGGGATTGTCTGGGAGGGTGTCTCGGGCCCGGAAACGTAATCCAGGAGAGATCAGAAGACCGGCGACCCCATGGGCCTCCATCTCTTTCTCCTTCCTTGACAACCCCTAAACCAGTGACCCCACTCATTCCAGGCTGGAACGTCGTTCGGTTGTCATTTGGCGTCACCTAGCGGTCACTGTTATTGAAAATGGAGGCATCACACCAAAACTTCTGGCCGCCCGCGCACAGCCAGGGAAAACTGGTTTCTCTCGGGCCCCACCCTGACCTCAGAGGCACTCCTTCTGTCCCTCCCCCTATGCCTTGTTGCCTAGGAAACCTCCACCCTGGCTGGGAATGCTTATTTCTTTATTTATTTAGAGACAGAGACAGTTTCGCTCTTGTAGCCCAGGTTGAAGTTCAATGGCGCCATCTCGGCTCACTGCAACCTCTGCCTCCTGGATTCAAGCGATTCTCCTGCCTCAGCCTCCCCACTAGCTGGTATTACATGTGCCTGCCTCTACTCCCAGCAAATTTTTGTATTTTTAGTAGGGACGTCATTTCGCCATGTTGGCCAGTCTGTTCTCGAAGTCCTGACTTCAGATGATCCACCCACCTCAGCCTCTTAAAGTGCTGAGTTTACAGAAATAAGCCAGGGCGCCTAGGCTATCATTTGTTTTTCTTTCTTCCTTTTTTTTTTTTTTTTTTTTTTTTAGTAAGCATGAACAGTTCTACCTGGGTTTTAAAAATTGTGTGTGTGAAAGAAAAATAAATCTTGAGGCTTCCAAATCACTAAAGTAAAGGGAAAAGTCAAGCTGGCAACTGTTTAGGGCCAACCTGCCATTCTATTCAAAGTCACTCCTCTGCTCTTTTCTCTTTTTTTTTTTCTTTTTTGAGATGGAGTCTCGCTCAGATGCTCAAGCTGGAGCCCAGTGGAGCAATCTCGGCTCACTGCAACATTCGCCTCCTGGTTTCAAGCGATAAATGTATATTTGATTGCCTCCTTTGGAGAGGCTAATTAGAAACTCCAAAGAATGCAACCATTTGTCTCTTAACTACCTTTGACCAGGAAGTCCCCTCCTCACTTTCAGTCTTCCCGCGTTTGCTAATTTGTCCCGCCTTTGCAGACCGAACCAATGTTCATCTTGCATACTTTGATTGATGTCTCATGTCTCCCTAGAATGTATAAAACGATAATGTTCTCTGTTTACCTTAGGCACATGTCCTCAGAACCTCCTGAGGCTGTCACGGGTATGCGTCCTGAACCTTGGTTACGTAAACTTTCTAAATTAACTGAGACCTCTCTCAAGTTTTCAGGGTTCACAACGGAAAGTGCATTGTAGCTCCACCCTAGGGCTTACCATTAAGAAAAACTATCCTAAATCTCTGCAGATACAGTCAAACCGGTTGTATGTAAACTGTATGAAACTAAATGCACTTATTACAAGTAAATGAATAAATGCTGAGAAAAAAAATCATGAACCGCTCACCTTTCAAAGAAGCAATAATACTATGAATTATGTGTAATTTCCAGAGTCAGCTAGTTTCAAAATTGTCCCCACTAAACTTGGAAAGGTTCCAGAGTGAGCTATTGTGTCTCCAGCCTTTGCTCCTCCCCCTTCTTTCCCCTGCGCCCTCCCCTCAACCTTTGCCGGCAATCACATTCTCTGATTCTGCAAAAGCAGGTGGGAGCCCTAGAGAGAGTTCTCGTTTTTTTTTTTTTTTTTTTCTTTTTTGAGATGGAGTCTCGCTTAGAGGCTCAGGATGGAGCCCAATGGAGCAATCTCGGCTCACTGCAACATCCGCTTCCTGGTTTCAGGCGATTCTACTGCCTCAGCCTACCGAGGAGCTGGGTTAACAGGCACCCGTTATTATGCCCAGCTAATTTTTGTATTTTCATAGAGACAGGGTTTAACCATGTTGGCCACGCTGGACTCGAACTCCTGCCATCAGGTGATCCGTCAGCCTCAGCCTTTCAATGTGCCGGGATTACAGGCGTGAGCCACTGTGGCCAGCGAGTTCTCTTTTCTTTGTGAAGGGCAAGGCAAAGTGGAATGGATTCATCTAAAAGCGGAGTGCATGCCCTGGAAAACATCATGGTTAGACCCATGTGAGACAGGTTAGTTTTACTGCGTGTGTTCTCCATGTGTTGTTGCCCATGTGTTGCTACCATGGTAATCCTGCTGAGTATGAGAGGAATCAAAGTTTCACACATTTGGTGTATGTGCTTGACTGAGGAACCAATGGGGTGAAGCTACCATCTGTGGGATTATGACTGAACGCCTCTAAATCAGAATCCCGCCCAGAAGAAAGGATGCAGCAGCGCTGGCAAGACTCGGTTGGCCTCAGATAGCCAGTCCCCAGCCTTTGCCACCGGCCGGAGGCTCCGCCCCGCTGTGCGCCAAGACCTTGCTCCGGTCTTATCATCCTAAAAAATGGGGTGCGGCCCCCCATCCTAAAAAACGGGGTGCGGCCAGAAAGGCGTTTGCTCCCTGGCCCGTCACATAACATGCTTATGGGGAATCTGATACTAAACTATTGGTAAACGCCCTGCTTCTGGGTCAGGGTTTCCTATGGAGCAGAGCAACTCCCTCACTGCAACCTATTGAAAGTCAGCCCTCCACACAAGGGGCTCTCAACCAGTGTGCGGGAAAACTAGCGTTGTGGCGTGTCCTGTATAATTCAGCCCTGGACCTCTACCTTCCTTCTTTCCTCCTTTTGCCCCCGGGGACTTAGTTCCCGGGCCTGCTCAGGCCCCCCGCCCCGGAGCCCCAGGGCATGCAGGGCTGTCTCTCGCGAGATAACATTGGCGTCGGCCGTGCATTTGGGAGGGGTCGTTCCCCAACAGCAGGCTTTCCAAGATGCAGCGCTGGGGGTTGCGAGGTAGGGTTGGCGCCCCTGCTCGATGTTCCACCTCTCTGATTGAGCTTCTTTCTCCCATCCCGCTGGGAATTCCTCCACGAGTTGGGACCGGATTCTTCGAGCCTCGTGCGAATGGCTGAGGCGCGGGTGTCAGAGGTTTTGCCCCTGCAGTCCCTGCCTGAGTAGTGTTCGCGCGATGCCCGTGGGTGGCTGTTGGGGTCACAGTCCCTCTCCCCGCCTCAGGGGTGCTGGGATGAAAGACTAGCTAGTCACTACCCTTGTGTCTTTACTCCTCTTCTCTGTCCGGGTCAACCAGCGGACTGCGGGGAAATGGCTGGCAGGTCTGCCAAGTTAGACGGCCTCAAACCTGGGCCGGTTCTGTGTGATAAGGTTCCAACTGCGTCTGATCGCTTCCCTCCGCGAGCACCACATTTGGTCTTTAGGGTGGACCCTGTCGATTAGATGCTGGCCTTTGGCTTCCCGATCAGCCCGCGAATCAGCCGACTGCGGGAAGCAAGCAACATCCAGTTGACACGGCCGCGGGCTTCTCTGTCTGGAAGACCTGGGACCAGGGCCTAAGGCCCCAGTCCTCAGGTCTCTGGTCGCCGTGCCCACCTGATGTCCGCGGCAAGCGTTGGACTTGACCGTCAACTTGGGATTTCTAAGGTAGACCAGATAACTTTGGTCAGCAGCAGTACCGCCCGCATTCACTAGGTGTCGCTTTTTCCTTGCGTTGTTTCTTCCTCTCCAACTGTTTCCACAGTACTTTCAGTTTCTCTTCGTTTTGTTTTTCTTTTATTTTTCTTGCTCCTCTTTCTACACACTGAAGTTGCTGTTGTTTTACATTTACCTTTTATTTATTTGTAGTTTTTGAGGCAGGTTGGAGTGTAAGAATGCAATCTCGGCTTACAGCCGCCTCGACTTTCCAGGACTCCCTCAGGTGATCTTCCTATCTCAGCCTTCCAAGTGGCTGAGACTACAGGAATCACTTAATTCTGTGATGTCGAAGCTGAAGTGAGCCGTGATGATGCCTTGCCCTCCAGTCTGAGTGTTTCAGAAGGTAAGAGAGACAGGTTAAAGAAAAAAATTCCTTGAAATAAACTGCAATTAACTGTGATCTAAATTACCTTTTATAGTTTTTCACTCCCACGAGTTTGTTTATTATTATTGCTGCTTATTATTTCTTTGTATTATTGTTTGTCATTATTGTTATTGTTTTTATTATTTATGTAATTATTTAGAGATGGAGTCTTCCTCTATCACCCAGAGTGCAGTGCAGTGGCGCGACTTTGGGTCACTGCAGCTTCAAATGCCTGGGTTCAAATTCGCAATATGGCGAAACACCCTGTTTACTAAAATCTGTCAATGACACCTTCAGGACCGTTGGTTGTGGCGGCTGCAATTTCGGAGGCTGAGGAGGGCAGTTCGCTAGAGCTCGGGAGTTCAAGACAGCCTCGGAAACAGACTGCAGAGCATTTGTCTGACCAAGACCCGCTGCAGCCTCCACCTCCCGACCCCAAGCGATGTTCTCAACTCAGGCTCCAAAGGATCTGGGACCACAGGCGCCTGCCATCATAATGCCCGGATTTTTTTCTTTTCTTTTCTTTTTCAGTAGAGACGGGGTCTCACTGTGTTGCCAGGGCTGGTCTCAAAGTCCTAGGCTCTAGCAATTCTTCCAACTCAGCCTCCCAAAGTGCTGGGATTATAGGTGTGAGCCACAATGCCCTGCCCTCTTTTTTATTTCCTTCATTTTTTCTCTTTTTTTCTTTCTCTTTCTTTCTGTCTTTTCTTTTTCTTCTCTCTTTTTCTTCCTCCCTTTTTTCTCTCATTTCTCATTCTTTTTTTTTCTGTTTCTATGTCTTTTGGTTTTCTTTTTCATCTTTCTTCCCTTTACATCTCTGTCTGTCTATTTTCTTTTTCTTGATCTTCCTTACTCTCTCTCTCTTTTCTTCATTTCTTTCTTTCCATCCCTCTGTCTGTCTGTCTTTGTGTGGATTTTGGAAAATTCTCCTTATTCTGTATCTCCCTGTGTATCACAAGCCTCTGTGACTTTCACTTTGTTGTTTTTCCTCCTTGTCGCGTAAAAGGCATTCACTGCTCTTTTATTTTGGTGCTCTGTGGATGTTCGAAGGGTGGGGAAAAAGTGGTCCACGAATGTGATTGGTTTCATGAGAGACACGAGAGACAAAAGAACATATGATGATTACTTCGCTAAATGCCCTGTTTATTCTTTCAACTGCACTCATACAAGTAAGGACGCAGTTGGTGGGTTGAGAGATCTCTGTGTAGTCATGACTCTGCAATTATACTTGACGAGAGCGGTGATGATGAACGGGCGGCATGGAAACCTGCCCTTCTTTGGTGTCAGTTGAGCACAGTGAGAAGAGATTCACAATGGCCTGTATCTCAACCTGATGGTACTGTGTTTCTGCTCTGATCTTTAGGAATGAGAGAAGCATTCCCGTGCATTCCTGCAACGTCCTTGAAGTTTTCTTTTTAAACTTTTCGATTAACTAACGTATTTATTAATTTATTTGAGATGGAGTCTTGTTCTGTTGGTCAGGCCATGGCGCAGTATCGGGCCACTGCAACCTCCGCCTCCCAGGTTCCAGCGATTCTCTTGCCTTAGCCTCTCGAGTAGCTGGGATAACAGGCACGTGCCACCATACCCAGCTAACTTTTACCTTTTTAGTAAAGACAGGGTTTTCCCATGTTGCCCAGGCTGGTCTTGAACTCCAACTTCCAGGAATCCTGTGGCCTCGTCCTCCCAAAGTGCTGGGAGATCCCAGGTCATCAGACTCGAGAAAGAATGTTGGTTGATATAGAAAGGCGAGACACACTGCGCCCGACCCAAATTGCTATTTTTAAAAATAAACCAGTAGGCTGGGTGCAGTGGGCCACTCCTCTCATCTCAGCAGTTTGCTAGGCGGATGTGGGAGGATTACGAGGTCAGGAGTTTGAGACCAGCCTGGCCAACATAGTCAAACTCTGTCTGTATGAAGAATACAAAAATTAACCAGGTGTGGTGTCACACACCTCTACTCCCAGCTACTCTATATGCTGAGGTAGTAGAATCTGTTGAAGCCGGGAGATGGAGATTGCAGTCAGCCCAGATCATGCCACTGGACTCCAGCTTGGGTGACAGAGTCAGATTCCATCTAAAAAAAAAAAAAGTAATTAAAAATAAGTGAGTTTCCAAGAAGAAATAGAAACCCGCAGTGACACAAACATATGCATCTCACCTTTCGAGGCAGCAATGACACTACAAACTTGTAAACTCAGTTCATTTCTTGACTGCGGACCATGGGTATTTGTGATGCTTCCTCTTGGAACATAGTTCTGTGTGACACCATACCCAGCTAACATTTGCCTTTTTAGTAGTCAGAATTTTGCTATATTGCCCAGACTGCTCTTGAACTCATGAACTCCAGGTATCCGCCCGCCCAAAAAAAAGAGTTGTGATGAAAGGAGACACACAGATGGATTTCAGCCCTTAAAATGGTGCATGCTGCCACATTTCACAGATCTTCCCTGGGCCTTACTGGTATTTGCCCAACATAGAAATGCTTTCTAAAAAGTGACAATTTGCTTACATAATATTTCCACAAGCGATGCCTTGGTCTGTGTTTGTTTTTACGTTTTGTTTTGTTTGTAGTTTTTACTTTACTTATCTCTTTTCAGTTGAAGTAGATTTTACCAATTTTAGGAAGATGTGTATTTTCCCCAAAACCTGTTAGCTGGTGTTTTCTTCGGTCATTAAGTAGCGATTTTCGGAATCTCTCAAGGTACAGTGAGAGCCGATTGGTATAAACTATACTTCATAAAATCTTCTTTCCTTTTCATTTTTTTTTTTTTTTTTTTGTCTTTCAGGTGGAGTTTCGCTCTTATTGCCCAGGCTGGAGTTCAGTGGCGTGACCTCAGCTCACCGCAACCTCTGCCGCCTGTGTTCAAGAGATTTTCCAGTCTTCACCCTTTCGAGTAGCTGAAACCACAGGCAAACACCTCCAGGCCTGGCTAATTTTTTTTTTTTCATAGAGACTAGGTAGCTCCATAATGGTCAGGCTGGTCTAGAACACCCAACCTGAGGCGTACCACCCAACTTGACCACCCAAAGTGCTGAGATTAAAGGCGTGAGCTCCGCGTCTGGCCATAACATCTTATCCTATAGAAGCCCAGAGAGGTTAGGTATGTAGTCCCTGAGACCAGCCTTCCTTGGATGAACTCCAAAGTGATGGCTGAGGATTAGGGAGTGTGGGGTGGGGGCTGGAAAGTCGGTCCCCTATTGTTGCTACCTAGGCCATGACATCCCCATACTCCCATCGCCTGCTCACCGTTTGAGATTCCCCCCCACCACCGCCTTGGTGGCTGAACTCTTACTTTAATTTCTGTCTTTCTTCGTTTGTTGGGTTTCAGGAGGGGGTGCAGGAAAGACGGTGTGCGTGGGGAGGGGGTGTAGGGTGGGGATGGAGGGGAGCGTCCTAAGGGTCGATGTAGTGTCATGCCTCTTTCATCACCACCACCGAAGATGAAACAATAATCATCTAAATACCGCGTGTTCTCACACATAAGTGGGAACTACATAATGAGAATGCATGCGAAGAACTAGGGGGACGAGAGACGCAGGAGCCTACCTGAGGGAGGACGTGTGGAAGGACAGACAGCTTCAGGACAAAGCAAAACGAGCAGAACACAAAAACTGTAGGGGACTGCGCTGAGAATCCGGGTGAGGAAATCATCGGCACACTGAACCCCCTACTCAGAAGTTTACCTATGAAACAATCTTGCACATGTATGCTTCAAAAACAAATAACAGTTAGGGAAGAAAGAGAGAGAGAGAGAAAGAGAGAGAGACAAGTAAAATAAAGCACCACCTCCTTGACCTGACTCAGGGCGTTTGGGGTCTTCTGGGGAAATGTTCTGAAACAATGGAGTATTTTGGTCTGTTCTTTCTTGTGTCTTTTTTTTTTTTTTTAAGACGGACTCTCGCTCAGCCACCCAGGCTGGAATGCAGTGGTGCACTGGGTTCACTGCAGCAAATATCTCCCGGGTTGAAGCGATTCTCCAGTCTCATCCTCCTGAGTGGCCGGGATTACAGTCACGCGCCATAATGCCCTGCTAATTTTTGAACATTAGTAGAGAAGGGGTATTGCCATGCTTGCGACGCTGGACTTGAAGGCAAAATGAAAATGAAAATGAAACGCAACAAAATAATTAAAAAGTGAGTTTCTGGGGAAAAAGAAGAAAAGAAAAAAGAAAAAAACAACAAAACAGAACAACCCCACCGTGACGTACACATACGCCTCTCGCCTTTCGAGGCCTCAAACACGTTAGGAATTATGCGTGATTTCTTTTTTTAACTTCATTTTATGTTATTATCGTGATTGATGTTTCGAGACGGAGTCTCGGAGGCCCGCCCTCCCTGGTTGCCCAGACAACCCCGGGAGACAGACCCTGGCTGGGCCCGATTGTTCTTCTCCTTGGTCAGGGGTTTCCTTGTCTTTCTTCGTGTCTTTAACCCGCGTGGACTCTTCCGCTCGGGTTTGACAGATGGCAGCTCCACTTTAGGCCTTGTTGTTGTTGGGGACTTTCCTGATTCTCCCCAGATGTAGTGAAAGCAGGTAGATTTGCCTTGCCTGGCCTTGCCTGGCCTTGCCTTTTCTTTCTTTCTTTCTTTCTTTATTACTTTCTCTTTTTCTTCTTCTTCTTCTTCTTTTTTTTGAGACAGAGTTTCACTCTTGTTGCCCAGGCTAGAGGGCAATGGCGCGATCTCGGCTCACCGCACCCTCCGCCTCCCAGGTTCAAGCGATTCTCCTGCCTCAGCCTCCTGATTAGCTGGGATTACAGGCATGGGCCACCGTGCCTGGCTGATGTTTGTACTTTTAGTAGAGACGGTGTTTTTCCATGTTGGTCAGGCTGGTCTCCCACTCCCAACCTCAGGTGGTCCGCCTGCCTTAGCCTCCCAAAGTGCTGGGATGACAGGCGTGAGCCACCGCGCCCAGCCTCTCTCTCTCTCTCTCTCTCTCTCTCTCTCTCTCTCGCTCGCTTGCTTGCTTGCTTTCGTGCTTTCTTGCTTTCCCGTTTTCTTGCTTTCTTTCTTTCTTTCGTTTCTTTCATGCTTGCTTTCTTGCTTGCTTGCTTGCTTTCGTGCTTTCTTGCTTTCCTGTTTTCTTTCTTTCTTTCTTTCTTTCTTTCTTTTGTTTCTTTCTTGCTTGCTTTCTTGCTTGCTTGCTTGCTTTCGTGCTTTCTTGCTTTCCTGTTTTCTTTCTTTCTTTCTTTCTTTTCTTTCTTTCTTGCTTGCTTTCCTGCTTGCTTGCTTTCGTGCTTTCTTGTTTTCTCGATTTCTTTCTTTCTTTTGTTTCTTTCCTGCTTGCTTTCTTGCTTGCTTGCTTTCGTGCTTTCTTGCTTTCTTTCTTTCTTTCTTTCTTTCTTTTGTTTCTTTCTTGCTTGCTTTCTTGCTTGCTTGCTTTCGTGCTTTCTTGTTTTCTCGATTTCTTTCTTTCTTTTGTTTCTTTCCTGCTTGCTTTCTTGCTTGATTGCTTTCGTGCTTTCTTGCTTTCTTGTTTTCTTTCTTTCTTTTGTTTCTTTCTTTCTTGCTTCCTTGTTTTCTTGCTTTCTTGCTTGCTTGCTTTCGTGCTTTCTTGTTTTCTTGCTTTCTTTCTTTTGTTTCTTTCTTGCTTGCTTTCTTGCTTCCTTGTTTTCTTGCTTTCTTGCTTGCTTGCTTTCGTGCTTTCTTTCTTGCTTTCTTTTCTTTCTTTCTTTTCTTTTTCTTTCTTTCTTGCTTTCTTTTCTTTCATTCATTCATTCTTTCTTTCTTTCCTTTCTTTCTTTCTTTCTTTCTATCTTTCTTTCTTTCTTTCTTTCTTTCTTTCTTTCTTTCTTTCTGTTTCGTCCTTTTGAGACAGAGTTTCACTCTTGTTTCCACGGCTAGAGTGCAATGGCGCGATCTTGGCTCACCGCACCTTCCGCCTCCCGGGTTCGAGCGCTTCTCCTGCCTCAGCCTCCCGATTAGCGGGGATTACAGGGAGGCACCCCCACGCCTGGCTTGGCTGATGTTTGTGTTTTTAGTAGGCACGCCGTGTCTCTCCATGTTGCTCAGGCTGGTCTCCAACTCCCGACCTCCTGTGATGCGCCCACCTCGGCCTCTCGAAGTGCTGGGATGACGGGCGTGAGCCACCGTGCCCGGCCTGTTGACTCATTTCGCTTTTTTATTTCTTTCGTTTCCACGCGTTTACTTATATGTATTAATGTAAACGTTTCTGTACGCTTATATGCAAACAACGACAACGTGTATCTCTGCATTGAATACTCTTGCGTATGGTAAATACGTATCGGTTGTATGGAAATAGACTTCTGTATGATAGATGTAGGTGTTTGTGTTATACAAATAAATACACATCGCTCTATAAAGAAGGGATCGTCGATAAAGACGTTTATTTTACGTATGAAAAGCGTCGTATTTATGTGTGTAAATGAACGAGCGTACGTAGTTATCTCTGTTTTCTTTCTTCCTCTCCTTCGTGTTTTTCTTCCTTCCTTTCTTCCTTTCTCTCCTTCTTTAGGTTTTTCTTCCTCTCTTCCTTTCCTTCTTTCTCTCTTTCTGTCCTTTTTTCCTTCGTGCTTTATTTCTCTTTCGTTCCCTGTGTTTCCTTCTTTTTTCTTTCCTCTCTGTTTCTTTTTCCCTTCTTTCCTTCGTTTCTTTCCTCATTCTTTCTCTCTTTTTCGTGTTTCTTTCCTTCCCGTCTGTCTTTTAAAAAATGGAGTGTTTCAGAAGTTTACTTTGTGTATCTACGTTTTCTAAATTGTCTCTCTTTTCTCCATTTTCTTCCTCCCTCCCTCCCTCCCTCCCTCCCTGCTCCCTTCCCTCCCTCCTTCCCTTTCGCCATCTGTCTCTTTTCCCCACTCCCCTCCCCCCGTCTGTCTCTGCGTGGATTCCGGAAGAGCCTACGCATTCTGCCTCTCCGTGTGTCTGCAGCGACCCGCGACCGAGTCCTTGTGTGTTCTTTCTCCCTCCCTCCCTCCCTCCCTCCCTCCCTCCCTCCCTGCTTCCGAGAGGCATCTCCAAACACCCACGCGCCGTGGGTTGTCTTCTGACTCTGTCGCGGTCGAGGCAGAGACGCGTTTTGGGCACCGTTTGTGTGGGGTTGGGGCAGAGGGGCTGCGTTTTCGGCCTCGGGAAGAGCTTCTCGACTCACGGTTTCGCTTTCGCGGTCCACGGGCCGCCCTGCCAGCCGGATCTGTCTCGCTGACGTCCGCGGCGGTTGTCGGGCTCCATCTGGCGGCCGCTTTGAGATCGTGCTCTCGGCTTCCGGAGCTGCGGTGGCAGCTGCCGAGGGAGGGGACCGTCCCCGCTGTGAGCTAGGCAGAGCTCCGGAAAGCCCGCGGTCGTCAGCCCGGCTGGCCCGGTGGCGCCAGAGCTGTGGCGCGTCGCTTGTGAGTCACAGCTCTGGCGTGCAGGTTTATGTGGGGGAGAGGCTGTCGCTGCGCTTCTGGGCCCGCGGCGGGCGTGGGGCTGCCCGGGCCGGTCGACCAGCGCGCCGTAGCTCCCGAGGCCCGAGCCGCGACCCGCGGGGACCCGCCGCGCGTGGCGCGGGAGGCTGGGGACGCCCTTCCCGGCCCGGTCGCGGGTCCGCGCTCATCCTGGCCGTCTGAGGCGGCGGCCGAATTCGTTTCCGAGTCCCCGTGGGGAGCCGGGGACCGTCCCGCCCCCGTCCCCCGGGTGCCGGGGAGCGGTCCCCGGGCCGGGCCGCGGTCCCTCTGCCGCGATCCTTTCTGGCGAGTCCCCGTGCGGAGTCGGAGAGCGCTCCCTGAGCGCGCGTGCGGCCCGAGAGGTCGCGCCTGGCCGGCCTTCGGTCCCTCGTGTGTCCCGGTCGTAGGAGGGGCCGGCCGAAAATGCTTCCGGCTCCCGCTCTGGAGACACGGGCCGGCCCCCTGCGTGTGGCACGGGCGGCCGGGAGGGCGTCCCCGGCCCGGCGCTGCTCCCGCGTGTGTCCTGGGGTTGACCAGAGGGCCCCGGGCGCTCCGTGTGTGGCTGCGATGGTGGCGTTTTTGGGGACAGGTGTCCGTGTCGCGCGTCGCCTGGGCCGGCGGCGTGGTCGGTGACGCGACCTCCCGGCCCCGGGGGAGGTATATCTTTCGCTCCGAGTCGGCATTTTGGGCCGCCGGGTTATTGCTGACACGCTGTCCTCTGGCGACCTGTCGCTGGAGAGGTTGGGCCTCCGGATGCGCGCGGGGCTCTGGCCTACCGGTGACCCGGCTAGCCGGCCGCGCTCCTGCTTGAGCCGCCTGCCGGGGCCCGCGGGCCTGCTGTTCTCTCGCGCGTCCGAGCGTCCCGACTCCCGGTGCCGGCCCGGGTCCGGGTCTCTGACCCACCCGGGGGCGGCGGGGAAGGCGGCGAGGGCCACCGTGCCCCCGTGCGCTCTCCGCTGCGGGCGCCCGGGGCGGCCGCGACAACCCCACCCCGCTGGCTCCGTGCCGTGCGTGTCAGGCGTTCTCGTCTCCGCGGGGTTGTCCGCCGCCCCTTCCCCGGAGTGGGGGGTTGGCCGGAGCCGATCGGCTCGCTGGCCGGCCGGCCGGCCTCCGCTCCCGGGGGGCTCTTCGTGATCGATGTGGTGACGTCGTGCTCTCCCGGGCCGGGTCCGAGCCGCGACGGGCGAGGGGCGGACGTTCGTGGCGAACGGGACCGTCCTTCTCGCTCCGCCCCGCGGGGGTCCCCTCGTCTCTCCTCTCCCCGCCCGCCGGCGGTGCGTGTGGGAAGGCGTGGGGTGCGGACCCCGGCCCGACCTCGCCGTCCCGCCCGCCGCCTTCTGCGTCGCGGGTGCGGGCCGGCGGGGTCCTCTGACGCGGCAGACAGCCCTCGCTGTCGCCTCCAGTGGTTGTCGACTTGCGGGCGGCCCCCCTCCGCGGCGGTGGGGGTGCCGTCCCGCCGGCCCGTCGTGCTGCCCTCTCGGGGGGTTTGCGCGAGCGTCGGCTCCGCCTGGGCCCTTGCGGTGCTCCTGGAGCGCTCCGGGTTGTCCCTCAGGTGCCCGAGGCCGAACGGTGGTGTGTCGTTCCCGCCCCCGGCGCCCCCTCCTCCGGTCGCCGCCGCGGTGTCCGCGCGTGGGTCCTGAGGGAGCTCGTCGGTGTGGGGTTCGAGGCGGTTTGAGTGAGACGAGACGAGACGCGCCCCTCCCACGCGGGGAAGGGCGCCCGCCTGCTCTCGGTGAGCGCACGTCCCGTGCTCCCCTCTGGCGGGTGCGCGCGGGCCGTGTGAGCGATCGCGGTGGGTTCGGGCCGGTGTGACGCGTGCGCCGGCCGGCCGCCGAGGGGCTGCCGTTCTGCCTCCGACCGGTCGTGTGTGGGTTGACTTCGGAGGCGCTCTGCCTCGGAAGGAAGGAGGTGGGTGGACGGGGGGGCCTGGTGGGGTTGCGCGCACGCGCGCACCGGCCGGGCCCCCGCCCTGAACGCGAACGCTCGAGGTGGCCGCGCGCAGGTGTTTCCTCGTACCGCAGGGCCCCCTCCCTTCCCCAGGCGTCCCTCGGCGCCTCTGCGGGCCCGAGGAGGAGCGGCTGGCGGGTGGGGGGAGTGTGACCCACCCTCGGTGAGAAAAGCCTTCTCTAGCGATCTGAGAGGCGTGCCTTGGGGGTACCGGATCCCCCGGGCCGCCGCCTCTGTCTCTGCCTCCGTTATGGTAGCGCTGCCGTAGCGACCCGCTCGCAGAGGACCCTCCTCCGCTTCCCCCTCGACGGGGTTGGGGGGGAGAAGCGAGGGTTCCGCCGGCCACCGCGGTGGTGGCCGAGTGCGGCTCGTCGCCTACTGTGGCCCGCGCCTCCCCCTTCCGAGTCGGGGGAGGATCCCGCCGGGCCGGGCCCGGCGTCCCAGCGGGTTGGGACGCGGCGGCCGGCGGGCGGTGGGTGTGCGCGCCCGGCGCTCTGTCCGGCGCGTGACTCCCTCCGCCGCGAGTCGGCTCTCCGCCCGCTCCCGTGCCGAGTCGTGACCGGTGCCGACGACCGCGTTTGCGTGGCACGGGGTCGGGCCCGCCTGGCCCTGGGAAAGCGTCCCACGGTGGGGGCGCGCCGGTCTCCCGGAGCGGGACCGGGTCGGAGGATGGACGAGAATCACGAGCGACGGTGGTGGTGGCGTGTCGGGTTCGTGGCTGCGGTCGCTCCGGGGCCCCCGGTGGCGGGGCCCCGGGGCTCGCGAGGCGGTTCTCGGTGGGGGCCGAGGGCCGTCCGGCGTCCCAGGCGGGGCGCCGCGGGACCGCCCTCGTGTCTGTGGCGGTGGGATCCCGCGGCCGTGTTTTCCTGGTGGCCCGGCCGTGCCTGAGGTTTCTCCCCGAGCCGCCGCCTCTGCGGGCTCCCGGGTGCCCTTGCCCTCGCGGTCCCCGGCCCTCGCCCGTCTGTGCCCTCTTCCCCGCCCGCCGCCCGCCGATCCTCTTCTTCCCCCCGAGCGGCTCACCGGCTTCACGTCCGTTGGTGGCCCCGCCTGGGACCGAACCCGGCACCGCCTCGTGGGGCGCCGCCGCCGGCCACTGATCGGCCCGGCGTCCGCGTCCCCCGGCGCGCGCCTTGGGGACCGGGTCGGTGGCGCCCCGCGTGGGGCCCGGTGGGCTTCCCGGAGGGTTCCGGGGGTCGGCCTGCGGCGCGTGCGGGGGAGGAGACGGTTCCGGGGGACCGGCCGCGACCGCGGCGGCGGTGGTGGGGGGAGCCGCGGGGATCGCCGAGGGCCGGTCGGCCGCCCCGGGTGCCGCGCGGTGCCGCCGGCGGCGGTGAGGCCCCGCGCGTGCGTCCCGGCTGCGGTCGGCCGCGCTCGAGGGGTCCCCGTGGCGTCCCCTTCCCCGCCGGCCGCCTTTCTCGCGCCTTCCCCGTCGCCCCGGCCTCGCCCGTGGTCTCTCGTCTTCTCCCGGCCCGCTCTTCCGAACCGGGTCGGCGCGTCCCCCGGGTGCGCCTCGCTTCCCGGGCCTGCCGCGGCCCTTCCCCGAGGCGTCCGTCCCGGGCGTCGGCGTCGGGGAGAGCCCGTCCTCCCCGCGTGGCGTCGCCCCGTTCGGCGCGCGCGTGCGCCCGAGCGCGGCCCGGTGGTCCCTCCCGGACAGGCGTTCGTGCGACGTGTGGCGTGGGTCGACCTCCGCCTTGCCGGTCGCTCGCCCTCTCCCCGGGTCGGGGGGTGGGGCCCGGGCCGGGGCCTCGGCCCCGGTCGCGGTCCCCCGTCCCGGGCGGGGGCGGGCGCGCCGGCCGGCCTCGGTCGCCCTCCCTTGGCCGTCGTGTGGCGTGTGCCACCCCTGCGCCCGCGCCCGCCGGCGGGGCTCGGAGCCGGGCTTCGGCCGGGCCCCGGGCCCTCGACCGGGACCGGTGCGCGGGCGCTGCGGCCGCACGGCGCGACTGTCCCCGGGCCGGGCACCGCGGTCCGCCTCTCGCTCGCCGCCCGGACGTCGGGGCCGCCCCGCGGGGCGGGCGGAGCGCCGTCCCCGCCTCGCCGCCGCCCGCGGGCGCCGGCCGCGCGCGCGCGCGCGTGGCCGCCGGTCCCTCCCGGCCGCCGGGCGCGGGTCGGGCCGTCCGCCTCCTCGCGGGCGGGCGCGACGAAGAAGCGTCGCGGGTCTGTGGCGCGGGGCCCCGGTGGTCGTGTCGCGTGGGGGGCGGGTGGTTGGGGCGTCCGGTTCGCCGCGCCCCGCCCCGGCCCCACCGGTCCCGGCCGCCGCCCCCGCGCCCGCTCGCTCCCTCCCGTCCGCCCGTCCGCGGCCCGTCCGTCCGTCCGTCCGTCGTCCTCCTCGCTTGCGGGGCGCCGGGCCCGTCCTCGCGAGGCCCCCCGGCCGGCCGTCCGGCCGCGTCGGGGCCTCGCCGCGCTCTACCTTACCTACCTGGTTGATCCTGCCAGTAGCATATGCTTGTCTCAAAGATTAAGCCATGCATGTCTAAGTACGCACGGCCGGTACAGTGAAACTGCGAATGGCTCATTAAATCAGTTATGGTTCCTTTGGTCGCTCGCTCCTCTCCTACTTGGATAACTGTGGTAATTCTAGAGCTAATACATGCCGACGGGCGCTGACCCCCTTCGCGGGGGGGATGCGTGCATTTATCAGATCAAAACCAACCCGGTCAGCCCCTCTCCGGCCCCGGCCGGGGGGCGGGCGCCGGCGGCTTTGGTGACTCTAGATAACCTCGGGCCGATCGCACGCCCCCCGTGGCGGCGACGACCCATTCGAACGTCTGCCCTATCAACTTTCGATGGTAGTCGCCGTGCCTACCATGGTGACCACGGGTGACGGGGAATCAGGGTTCGATTCCGGAGAGGGAGCCTGAGAAACGGCTACCACATCCAAGGAAGGCAGCAGGCGCGCAAATTACCCACTCCCGACCCGGGGAGGTAGTGACGAAAAATAACAATACAGGACTCTTTCGAGGCCCTGTAATTGGAATGAGTCCACTTTAAATCCTTTAACGAGGATCCATTGGAGGGCAAGTCTGGTGCCAGCAGCCGCGGTAATTCCAGCTCCAATAGCGTATATTAAAGTTGCTGCAGTTAAAAAGCTCGTAGTTGGATCTTGGGAGCGGGCGGGCGGTCCGCCGCGAGGCGAGCCACCGCCCGTCCCCGCCCCTTGCCTCTCGGCGCCCCCTCGATGCTCTTAGCTGAGTGTCCCGCGGGGCCCGAAGCGTTTACTTTGAAAAAATTAGAGTGTTCAAAGCAGGCCCGAGCCGCCTGGATACCGCAGCTAGGAATAATGGAATAGGACCGCGGTTCTATTTTGTTGGTTTTCGGAACTGAGGCCATGATTAAGAGGGACGGCCGGGGGCATTCGTATTGCGCCGCTAGAGGTGAAATTCTTGGACCGGCGCAAGACGGACCAGAGCGAAAGCATTTGCCAAGAATGTTTTCATTAATCAAGAACGAAAGTCGGAGGTTCGAAGACGATCAGATACCGTCGTAGTTCCGACCATAAACGATGCCGACCGGCGATGCGGCGGCGTTATTCCCATGACCCGCCGGGCAGCTTCCGGGAAACCAAAGTCTTTGGGTTCCGGGGGGAGTATGGTTGCAAAGCTGAAACTTAAAGGAATTGACGGAAGGGCACCACCAGGAGTGGAGCCTGCGGCTTAATTTGACTCAACACGGGAAACCTCACCCGGCCCGGACACGGACAGGATTGACAGATTGATAGCTCTTTCTCGATTCCGTGGGTGGTGGTGCATGGCCGTTCTTAGTTGGTGGAGCGATTTGTCTGGTTAATTCCGATAACGAACGAGACTCTGGCATGCTAACTAGTTACGCGACCCCCGAGCGGTCGGCGTCCCCCAACTTCTTAGAGGGACAAGTGGCGTTCAGCCACCCGAGATTGAGCAATAACAGGTCTGTGATGCCCTTAGATGTCCGGGGCTGCACGCGCGCTACACTGACTGGCTCAGCGTGTGCCTACCCTACGCCGGCAGGCGCGGGTAACCCGTTGAACCCCATTCGTGATGGGGATCGGGGATTGCAATTATTCCCCATGAACGAGGAATTCCCAGTAAGTGCGGGTCATAAGCTTGCGTTGATTAAGTCCCTGCCCTTTGTACACACCGCCCGTCGCTACTACCGATTGGATGGTTTAGTGAGGCCCTCGGATCGGCCCCGCCGGGGTCGGCCCACGGCCCTGGCGGAGCGCTGAGAAGACGGTCGAACTTGACTATCTAGAGGAAGTAAAAGTCGTAACAAGGTTTCCGTAGGTGAACCTGCGGAAGGATCATTAACGGAGCCCGGAGGGCGAGGCCCGCGGCGGCGCCGCCGCCGCCGCGCGCTTCCCTCCGCACACCCACCCCCCCACCGCGACGCGGCGCGTGCGCGGGCGGGGCCCGCGTGCCCGTTCGTTCGCTCGCTCGTTCGTTCGCCGCCCGGCCCCGCCGGCCGCGAGAGCCGGAGAACTCGGGAGGGAGACGGGGGGGAGAGAGAGAGAGAGAGAGAGAGAAAGAAGGGCGTGTCGTTGGTGTGCGCGTGTCGTGGGGCCGGCGGGCGGCGGGGAGCGGTCCCCGGCCGCGGCCCCGACGACGTGGGTGTCGGCGGGCGCGGGGGCGGTTCTCGGCGGCGTCGCGGCGGGTCTGGGGGGGTCTCGGTGCCCTCCTCCCCGCCGGGGCCCGTCGTCCGGCCCCGCCGCGCCGGCTCCCCGTCTTCGGGGCCGGCCGGATTCCCGTCGCCTCCGCCGCGCCGCTCCGCGCCGCCGGGCACGGCCCCGCTCGCTCTCCCCGGCCTTCCCGCTAGGGCGTCTCGAGGGTCGGGGGCCGGACGCCGGTCCCCTCCCCCGCCTCCTCGTCCGCCCCCCCGCCGTCCAGGTACCTAGCGCGTTCCGGCGCGGAGGTTTAAAGACCCCTTGGGGGGATCGCCCGTCCGCCCGTGGGTCGGGGGCGGTGGTGGGCCCGCGGGGGAGTCCCGTCGGGAGGGGCCCGGCCCCTCCCGCGCCTCCACCGCGGACTCCGCTCCCCGGCCGGGGCCGCGCCGCCGCCGACGCCGCGGCGGCCGTCGGGTGGGGGCTTTACCCGGCGGCCGTCGCGCGCCTGCCGCGCGTGTGGCGTGCGCCCCGCGCCGTGGGGGCGGGAACCCCCGGGCGCCTGTGGGGTGGTGTCCGCGCTCGCCCCCGCGTGGGCGGCGCGCGCCTCCCCGTGGTGTGAAACCTTCCGACCCCTCTCCGGAGTCCGGTCCCGTTCGCTGTCTCGTCTGGCCGGCCTGAGGCAACCCCCTCTCCTCTTGGGCGGGGGGGGGGGGACGTGCCGCGCCAGGAAGGGCCTCCTCCCGGTGCGTCGTCGGGAGCGCCCTCGCCAAATCGACCTCGTACGACTCTTAGCGGTGGATCACTCGGCTCGTGCGTCGATGAAGAACGCAGCTAGCTGCGAGAATTAATGTGAATTGCAGGACACATTGATCATCGACACTTCGAACGCACTTGCGGCCCCGGGTTCCTCCCGGGGCTACGCCTGTCTGAGCGTCGCTTGCCGATCAATCGCCCCCGGGGGTGCCTCCGGGCTCCTCGGGGTGCGCGGCTGGGGGTTCCCTCGCAGGGCCCGCCGGGGGCCCTCCGTCCCCCTAAGCGCAGACCCGGCGGCGTCCGCCCTCCCCTTGCCGCCGCGCCCGCCCCTTCCCCCTCCCCCCGCGGGCCCTGCGTGGTCACGCGTCGGGTGGCGGGGGGGAGAGGGGGGCGCGCCCGGCTGAGAGAGACGGGGAGGGCGGCGCCGCCGCCGCCCGCGAAGACGGAGAGGGAAAGAGAGAGCCGGCTCGGGCCGAGTTCCCGTGGCCGCCGCCTGCGGTCCGGGTTCCTCCCTCGGGGGGCTCCCTCGCGCCGCGCGCGGCTCGGGGTTCGGGGTTCGTCGGCCCCGGCCGGGTGGAAGGTCCCGTGCCCGTCGTCGTCGTCGTCGTCGCGCGTCGTCGGCGGTGGGGGCGTGTTGCGTGCGGTGTGGTGGTGGGGGAGGAGGAAGGCGGGTCCGGAAGGGGAAGGGTGCCGGCGGGGAGAGAGGGTCGGGGGAGCGCGTCCCGGTCGCCGCGGTTCGCCGCCCGCCCCCGGTGGCGGCCCGGCGTCCGGCCGACCGCCGCTCCCGCGCCCCTCCTCCTCCCCGCCGCCCCTCCTCCGAGGCCCCGCCCGTCCTCCTCGCCCTCCCCGCGCGTACGCGCGCGCGCCCGCCCGCCCGGCTCGCCTCGCGGCGCGTCGGCCGGGGCCGGGAGCCCGCCCCGCGGCCCGCCCGGCCGCGCCCGTGGCCGCGGCGCCGGGGTTCGCGTGTCCCCGGCGGCGACCCGCGGGACGCCGCGGTGTCGTCCGCCGTCGCGCGCCCGCCTCCGGCTCGCGGCCGCGCCGCGCCGCGCCGGGGCCCCGTCCCGAGCTTCCGCGTCGGGGCGGGGCGGCTCCGCCGCCGCGTCCTCGGACCCGTCCCCCCGACCTCCGCGGGGGAGACGGGTCGGGGCGTGCGGCGCCCGTCCCGCCCCCGGCCCGTGCCCCTCCCTCCGGTCGTCCCGCTCCGGCGGGGCGGCGCGGGGGTGCCGTCGGCCGCGCGCTCTCTCTCCCGTCGCCTCTCCCCCTCGCCGGGCCCGTCTCCCGACGGAGCGTCGGGCGGGCGGTCGGGCCGGCGCGATTCCGTCCGTCCGTCCGCCGAGCGGCCCGTCCCCCTCCGAGACGCGACCTCAGATCAGACGTGGCGACCCGCTGAATTTAAGCATATTAGTCAGCGGAGGAGAAGAAACTAACCAGGATTCCCTCAGTAACGGCGAGTGAACAGGGAAGAGCCCAGCGCCGAATCCCCGCCCCGCGGCGGGGCGCGGGACATGTGGCGTACGGAAGACCCGCTCCCCGGCGCCGCTCGTGGGGGGCCCAAGTCCTTCTGATCGAGGCCCAGCCCGTGGACGGTGTGAGGCCGGTAGCGGCCCCCGGCGCGCCGGGCCCGGGTCTTCCCGGAGTCGGGTTGCTTGGGAATGCAGCCCAAAGCGGGTGGTAAACTCCATCTAAGGCTAAATACCGGCACGAGACCGATAGTCAACAAGTACCGTAAGGGAAAGTTGAAAAGAACTTTGAAGAGAGAGTTCAAGAGGGCGTGAAACCGTTAAGAGGTAAACGGGTGGGGTCCGCGCAGTCCGCCCGGAGGATTCAACCCGGCGGCGGGTCCGGCCGTGTCGGCGGCCCGGCGGATCTTTCCCGCCCCCCGTTCCTCCCGACCCCTCCACCCGCCCTCCCTTCCCCCGCCGCCCCTCCTCCTCCTCCCCGGAGGGGGCGGGCTCCGGCGGGTGCGGGGGTGGGCGGGCGGGGCCGGGGGTGGGGTCGGCGGGGGACCGTCCCCCGACCGGCGACCGGCCGCCGCCGGGCGCATTTCCACCGCGGCGGTGCGCCGCGACCGGCTCCGGGACGGCTGGGAAGGCCCGGCGGGGAAGGTGGCTCGGGGGGCCCCGTCCGTCCGTCCGTCCGTCCTCCTCCTCCCCCGTCTCCGCCCCCCGGCCCCGCGTCCTCCCTCGGGAGGGCGCGCGGGTCGGGGCGGCGGCGGCGGCGGCGGTGGCGGCGGCGGCGGCGGCGGCGGGACCGAAACCCCCCCCGAGTGTTACAGCCCCCCCGGCAGCAGCACTCGCCGAATCCCGGGGCCGAGGGAGCGAGACCCGTCGCCGCGCTCTCCCCCCTCCCGGCGCCCACCCCCGCGGGGAATCCCCCGCGAGGGGGGTCTCCCCCGCGGGGGCGCGCCGGCGTCTCCTCGTGGGGGGGCCGGGCCACCCCTCCCACGGCGCGACCGCTCTCCCACCCCTCCTCCCCGCGCCCCCGCCCCGGCGACGGGGGGGGTGCCGCGCGCGGGTCGGGGGGCGGGGCGGACTGTCCCCAGTGCGCCCCGGGCGGGTCGCGCCGTCGGGCCCGGGGGAGGTTCTCTCGGGGCCACGCGCGCGTCCCCCGAAGAGGGGGACGGCGGAGCGAGCGCACGGGGTCGGCGGCGACGTCGGCTACCCACCCGACCCGTCTTGAAACACGGACCAAGGAGTCTAACACGTGCGCGAGTCGGGGGCTCGCACGAAAGCCGCCGTGGCGCAATGAAGGTGAAGGCCGGCGCGCTCGCCGGCCGAGGTGGGATCCCGAGGCCTCTCCAGTCCGCCGAGGGCGCACCACCGGCCCGTCTCGCCCGCCGCGCCGGGGAGGTGGAGCACGAGCGCACGTGTTAGGACCCGAAAGATGGTGAACTATGCCTGGGCAGGGCGAAGCCAGAGGAAACTCTGGTGGAGGTCCGTAGCGGTCCTGACGTGCAAATCGGTCGTCCGACCTGGGTATAGGGGCGAAAGACTAATCGAACCATCTAGTAGCTGGTTCCCTCCGAAGTTTCCCTCAGGATAGCTGGCGCTCTCGCAGACCCGACGCACCCCCGCCACGCAGTTTTATCCGGTAAAGCGAATGATTAGAGGTCTTGGGGCCGAAACGATCTCAACCTATTCTCAAACTTTAAATGGGTAAGAAGCCCGGCTCGCTGGCGTGGAGCCGGGCGTGGAATGCGAGTGCCTAGTGGGCCACTTTTGGTAAGCAGAACTGGCGCTGCGGGATGAACCGAACGCCGGGTTAAGGCGCCCGATGCCGACGCTCATCAGACCCCAGAAAAGGTGTTGGTTGATATAGACAGCAGGACGGTGGCCATGGAAGTCGGAATCCGCTAAGGAGTGTGTAACAACTCACCTGCCGAATCAACTAGCCCTGAAAATGGATGGCGCTGGAGCGTCGGGCCCATACCCGGCCGTCGCCGGCAGTCGAGAGTGGACGGGAGCGGCGGGGGCGGCGCGCGCGCGCGCGCGTGTGGTGTGCGTCGGAGGGCGGCGGCGGCGGCGGCGGCGGGGGTGTGGGGTCCTCCCCCGCCCCCCCCCCCACGCCTCCTCCCCTCCTCCCGCCCACGCCCCGCTCCCCGCCCCCGGAGCCCCGCGGACGCTACGCCGCGACGAGTAGGAGGGCCGCTGCGGTGAGCCTTGAAGCCTAGGGCGCGGGCCCGGGTGGAGCCGCCGCAGGTGCAGATCTTGGTGGTAGTAGCAAATATTCAAACGAGAACTTTGAAGGCCGAAGTGGAGAAGGGTTCCATGTGAACAGCAGTTGAACATGGGTCAGTCGGTCCTGAGAGATGGGCGAGCGCCGTTCCGAAGGGACGGGCGATGGCCTCCGTTGCCCTCGGCCGATCGAAAGGGAGTCGGGTTCAGATCCCCGAATCCGGAGTGGCGGAGATGGGCGCCGCGAGGCGTCCAGTGCGGTAACGCGACCGATCCCGGAGAAGCCGGCGGGAGCCCCGGGGAGAGTTCTCTTTTCTTTGTGAAGGGCAGGGCGCCCTGGAATGGGTTCGCCCCGAGAGAGGGGCCCGTGCCTTGGAAAGCGTCGCGGTTCCGGCGGCGTCCGGTGAGCTCTCGCTGGCCCTTGAAAATCCGGGGGAGAGGGTGTAAATCTCGCGCCGGGCCGTACCCATATCCGCAGCAGGTCTCCAAGGTGAACAGCCTCTGGCATGTTGGAACAATGTAGGTAAGGGAAGTCGGCAAGCCGGATCCGTAACTTCGGGATAAGGATTGGCTCTAAGGGCTGGGTCGGTCGGGCTGGGGCGCGAAGCGGGGCTGGGCGCGCGCCGCGGCTGGACGAGGCGCCGCCGCCCCCCCCACGCCCGGGGCACCCCCCTCGCGGCCCTCCCCCGCCCCACCCCGCGCGCGCCGCTCGCTCCCTCCCCACCCCGCGCCCTCTCTCTCTCTCTCTCCCCCGCTCCCCGTCCTCCCCCCTCCCCGGGGGAGCGCCGCGTGGGGGCGGCGGCGGGGGGAGAAGGGTCGGGGCGGCAGGGGCCGGCGGCGGCCGCCGCGGGGCCCCGGCGGCGGGGGCACGGTCCCCCGCGAGGGGGGCCCGGGCACCCGGGGGGCCGGCGGCGGCGGCGACTCTGGACGCGAGCCGGGCCCTTCCCGTGGATCGCCCCAGCTGCGGCGGGCGTCGCGGCCGCCCCCGGGGAGCCCGGCGGGCGCCGGCGCGCCCCCCCCACCCCCACCCCACGTCTCGTCGCGCGCGCGTCCGCTGGGGGCGGGGAGCGGTCGGGCGGCGGCGGCGGTCGGCGGGCGGCGGGGCGGGGCGGTTCGTCCCCCCGCCCTACCCCCCCGGCCCCGTCCGCCCCCCGTTCCCCCCTCCTCCTCGGCGCGCGGCGGCGGCGGCGGCGGCGGGCGGCGGAGGGGCCGCGGGCCGGTCCCCCCCGCCGGGTCCGCCCCCGGGGCCGCGGTTCCGCGCGGCGCCTCGCCTCGGCCGGCGCCTAGCAGCCGACTTAGAACTGGTGCGGACCAGGGGAATCCGACTGTTTAATTAAAACAAAGCATCGCGAAGGCCCGCGGCGGGTGTTGACGCGATGTGATTTCTGCCCAGTGCTCTGAATGTCAAAGTGAAGAAATTCAATGAAGCGCGGGTAAACGGCGGGAGTAACTATGACTCTCTTAAGGTAGCCAAATGCCTCGTCATCTAATTAGTGACGCGCATGAATGGATGAACGAGATTCCCACTGTCCCTACCTACTATCCAGCGAAACCACAGCCAAGGGAACGGGCTTGGCGGAATCAGCGGGGAAAGAAGACCCTGTTGAGCTTGACTCTAGTCTGGCACGGTGAAGAGACATGAGAGGTGTAGAATAAGTGGGAGGCCCCCGGCGCCCCCCCGGTGTCCCCGCGAGGGGCCCGGGGCGGGGTCCGCCGGCCCTGCGGGCCGCCGGTGAAATACCACTACTCTGATCGTTTTTTCACTGACCCGGTGAGGCGGGGGGGCGAGCCCCGAGGGGCTCTCGCTTCTGGCGCCAAGCGCCCGGCCGCGCGCCGGCCGGGCGCGACCCGCTCCGGGGACAGTGCCAGGTGGGGAGTTTGACTGGGGCGGTACACCTGTCAAACGGTAACGCAGGTGTCCTAAGGCGAGCTCAGGGAGGACAGAAACCTCCCGTGGAGCAGAAGGGCAAAAGCTCGCTTGATCTTGATTTTCAGTACGAATACAGACCGTGAAAGCGGGGCCTCACGATCCTTCTGACCTTTTGGGTTTTAAGCAGGAGGTGTCAGAAAAGTTACCACAGGGATAACTGGCTTGTGGCGGCCAAGCGTTCATAGCGACGTCGCTTTTTGATCCTTCGATGTCGGCTCTTCCTATCATTGTGAAGCAGAATTCACCAAGCGTTGGATTGTTCACCCACTAATAGGGAACGTGAGCTGGGTTTAGACCGTCGTGAGACAGGTTAGTTTTACCCTACTGATGATGTGTTGTTGCCATGGTAATCCTGCTCAGTACGAGAGGAACCGCAGGTTCAGACATTTGGTGTATGTGCTTGGCTGAGGAGCCAATGGGGCGAAGCTACCATCTGTGGGATTATGACTGAACGCCTCTAAGTCAGAATCCCGCCCAGGCGGAACGATACGGCAGCGCCGCGGAGCCTCGGTTGGCCTCGGATAGCCGGTCCCCCGCCTGTCCCCGCCGGCGGGCCGCCCCCCCCCTCCACGCGCCCCGCGCGCGCGGGAGGGCGCGTGCCCCGCCGCGCGCCGGGACCGGGGTCCGGTGCGGAGTGCCCTTCGTCCTGGGAAACGGGGCGCGGCCGGAAAGGCGGCCGCCCCCTCGCCCGTCACGCACCGCACGTTCGTGGGGAACCTGGCGCTAAACCATTCGTAGACGACCTGCTTCTGGGTCGGGGTTTCGTACGTAGCAGAGCAGCTCCCTCGCTGCGATCTATTGAAAGTCAGCCCTCGACACAAGGGTTTGTCCGCGCGCGCGCGCGCGCGCGTGCGTGCGGGGGGCCCGGCGGGGCGTGCGCGTCCGGCGCCGTCCGTCCTTCCGTTCGTCTTCCTCCCTCCCGGCCTCTCCCGCCGACCGCGGGCGTGGTGGTGGGGGTGGGGGGGGGAGGGCGCGCGACCCCGGTCGGCGCGCCCCGCTTCTTCGGTTCCCGCCTCCTCCCCGTTCACCGCCGGGGCGGCTCGTCCGCTCCGGGCCGGGACGGGGTCCGGGGAGCGTGGTTTGGGAGCCGCGGAGGCGGCCGCGCCGAGCCGGGCCCGTGGCCCGCCGGTCCCCGTCCCGGGGGTTGGCCGCGCGGGCCCCGGTGGGGCGGCCACCCGGGGTCCCGGCCCTCGCGCGTCCTTCCTCCTCGCTCCTCCGCACGGGTCGACCAGCAGACCGCGGGTGGCGGGCGGCGGGCGGCGAGGCCCCACGGGGCGTCCCCGCACCCGGCCGACCTCCGCTCGCGACCTCTCCTCGGTCGGGCCTCCGGGGTCGACCGCCTGCCGCCCGCGGGCGTGAGACTCAGCCGGCGTCTCGCCGTGTCCCGGGTCGACCGGCGGGCCTTCTCCACCGAGCGGCGTGTAGGAGTGCCCGTCGGGACGAACCGCAACCGGAGCGTCCCCGTCTCGGTCGGCACCTCCGGGGTCGACCAGCTGCCGCCCGCGAGCTCCGGACTTAGCCGGCGCCTGCACGTGTCCCGGGTCGACCAGCAGGCGGCCGCCGGACGCTGCGGCGCACCGACGCGAGGGCGTCGATTCCCGTTCGCGCGCCCGCGACCTCCACCGGCCTCGGCCCGCGGTGGAGCTGGGACCACGCGGAACTCCCTCTCCCACATTTTTTTCAGCCCCACCGCGAGTTTGCGTCCGCGGGACTTTTAAGAGGGAGTCACTGCTGCCGTCAGCCAGTAATGCTTCCTCCTTTTTTGCTTTTAGGTTTTGTCTTGCCTTTTTTTTTTTTTTTTTTTCTTTCTTTCTTTCTTTCTTTCTTTCTTTCTCGCTCTCGCTCTCTCCCTCCCTCGCTCGTTTTCTCTCTCTCTCGCTCTCTCCCTCGCTCGTTTTCTCTCTCTCTCTCTCTCTCTCTCTCTCTCTGTCTCTCGCTCTCGCCCTCTCTCTCTCTCTTTCTCTCTGTCTCTCTCTCTCTCTCTCTCTCTCTCTCTCTCTCTCTCTCTCTCTCTGTCGCTCTCGCCCTCTCGCTCTCTCTCTGTCTCTGTCTGTGTCTCTCTCTCTCCCTCCCTCCCCCCCTCCCTCCCTCCCTCCCTCCCTCCCCCCCCTTCCTTGGTGCCTTCTCGGCTCTTGAGACTTAGCCGCTGTCTCGCCGTGCCCCGGGTCGACCGGCGGGCCTTCTCCACCGAGCGGCGTGTAAGAGTGCCCGTCGGGACGAGCCGGACCCGCCGCGTCCCCGTCTCGGTCGGCACCTCCGGGGTCGACCAGCTGCCGCCCGCGAGCTCCGGACTTAGCCGGCGTCTGCACGTGTCCCGGGTCGACCAGCAGGCGGCCGCCGGACGCTGCGGCGCACCGACGCGAGGGCGCTGATTCCCGTTCACGCGCCCGCGACCTCCACCGGCCTCGGCCCGCCGTGGAGCTGGGACCACGCGGAACTCCCTCTCCTACATTTTTTTCAGCCCCACTGCGAGTTTGCGTCCGCGGGACTTTTAAGAGGGAGTCACTGCTGCCGTCAGCCAGTACTGCTTCCTCCTTTTTTGCTTTTAGGTTTTGTCTTGCCTTTTTTTTTTTTTTTTTTTTTTTCTTTCTTTCTTTCTTTCTTTCTTTCTTTCTTTCTTTCTTTCTCGCTCTCGCTCTCGCTCTCTCGCTCTCTCCCTCGCTCGTTTTCTTTCTCTTTCTCTTTCTCTCTCTCTCTCTCTGTCTCTCGCTCTCGCCCTCTCTCTCTCTCTCTTTCTCTCTGTCTCTCTCTGTCTCTCTCTCTCTCTCTCTCTCCCCCTCCCTCCCTCTCTCCCCTTCCTTGGTGCCTTCTCGGCTCTTGAGACTTAGCCGCTGTCTCGCCGTGTCCCGGGTCGACCGGCGGGCCTTCTCCACCGAGCGGCGTGTAAGAGTGCCCGTCGGGACGAGCCGGACCCGCCGCGTCCCCGTCTCGGTCGGCACCTCCGGGGTCGACCAGCTGCCGCCCGCGAGCTCCGGACTTAGCCGGCGTCTGCACGTGTCCCGGGTCGACCAGCAGGCGGCCGCCGGACGCTGCGGCGCACCGACGCGAGGGCGCTGATTCCCGTTCACGCGCCCGCGACCTCCACCGGCCTCGGCCCGCCGTGGAGCTGGGACCACGCGGAACTCCCTCTCCTACATTTTTTTCAGCCCCACTGCGAGTTTGCGTCCGCGGGACTTTTAAGAGGGAGTCACTGCTGCCGTCAGCCAGTACTGCTTCCTCCTTTTTTGCTTTTAGGTTTTGTCTTGCCTTTTTTTTTTTTTTTTTTTTTTCTTTCTTTCTTTCTTTCTTTCTTTCTTTCTTTCTTTCTTTCTCGCTCTCGCTCTCGCTCTCTCGCTCTCTCCCTCGCTCGTTTTCTTTCTCTTTCTCTTTCTCTCTCTCTCTCTCTCTCTGTCTCTCGCTCTCGCCCTCTCTCTCTCTCTCTTTCTCTCTGTCTCTCTCTGTCTCTCTCTCTCTCTCTCTCTCTCCCCCTCCCTCCCTCTCTCCCCTTCCTTGGTGCCTTCTCGGCTCTTGAGACTTAGCCGCTGTCTCGCCGTGTCCCGGGTCGACCGGCGGGCCTTCTCCACCGAGCGGCGTGTAAGAGTGCCCGTCGGGACGAACCGCAACCGGAGCGTCCCCGTCTCGGTCGGCACCTCCGGGGTCGACCAGCTGCCGCCCGCGAGCTCTGGACTTAGCCGGCGCCTGCACGTGTCCCGGGTCGACCAGCAGGCGGCCGCCGGACGCTGCGGCGCACCGACGCGAGGGCGTCGACTCCGGTTCACGCGCCGGCGACCTCCACCGGCCTCGGCCCGCGGTGGAGCTGGGACCACGCGGAACTCCCTCTCCTACATTTTTTTCAGCCCCACTGCGAGTTTGCGTCCGCGGGACTTTTAAGAGGGAGTCACTGCTGCCGTCAGCCAGTAATGCTTCCTCCTTTTTTGCTTTTTGGTTTTGCCTTGCGTTTTCTTTCTTTCTTTCTTTCTTTCTTTCTTTCTTTCTTTCTTTCTCTCTCTCTCTCTCTCTCTCTCTCTCTCTCTGTCTCTCTCCCCTCCCTCCCTCCTTGGTGCCTTCTCGGCTCGCTGCTGCTGCTGCCTCTGCCTCCACGGTTCAAGCAAACAGCAAGTTTTCTATTTCGAGTAAAGACGTAATTTCACCATTTTGGCCGGGCTGGTCTCGAACTCCCGACCTAGTGATCCGCCCGCCTCGGCCTCCCAAAGACTGCTGGGAGTACAGATGTGAGCCACCATGCCCGGCCGATTCCTTCCTTTTTTCAATCTTATTTTCTGAACGCTGCCGTGTATGAACATACATCTACACATACACACACACACACACACACACACACACACACACACCCCGTAGTGATAAAACTATGTAAATGATATTTCCATAATTAATACGTTTATATTATGTTACTTTTAATGGATGAATATGTATCGAAGCCCCATTTCATTTACATACACGTGTATGTATATCCTTCCTCCCTTCCTTCATTCATTATTTATTAATAATTTTCGTTTATTTATTTTCTTTTCTTTTGGGGCCGGCCCGCCTGGTCTTCTGTCTCTGCGCTCTGGTGACCTCAGCCTCCCAAATAGCTGGGACTACAGGGATCTCTTAAGCCCGGGAGGGAGAGGTTAACGTGGGCTGTGATCGCACACTTCCACTCCAGCTTACGTGGGCTGCGGTGGGGTGGGGTGGGGTGGGGTGGGGTGGGGTGGGGTGGGGTGGGGTGCAGAGAAAACGATTGATTGCGATCTCAATTGCCTTTTAGCTTCATTCATACCCTGTTATTTGCTCGTTTATTCTCATGGGTTCTTCTGTGTCATTGTCACGTTCATCGTTTGCTTGCCTGCTTGCCTGTTTATTTCCTTCCTTCCTTCCTTCCTTCCTTCCTTCCTTCCTTCCTTCCTTCCTTCCCTCCCTTACTGGCAGGGTCTTCCTCTGTCTCTGCCGCCCAGGATCACCCCAACCTCAACGCTTTGGACCGACCAAACGGTCGTTCTGCCTCTGATCCCTCCCATCCCCATTACCTGAGACTACAGGCGCGCACCACCACACCGGCTGACTTTTATGTTGTTTCTCATGTTTTCCGTAGGTAGGTATGTGTGTGTGTGTGTGTGTGTGTGTGTGTGTGTGTGTGTGTGTATATCTATGTATGTACGTATGTATGTATGTATGTGAGTGAGATGGGTTTCGGGGTTCTATCATGTTGCCCACGCTGGTCTCGAACTCCTGTCCTCAAGCAATCCGCCTGCCTGCCTCGGCCGCCCACACTGCTGCTATTACAGGCGTGAGACGCTGCGCCTGGCTCCTTCTACATTTGCCTGCCTGCCTGCCTGCCTGCCTGCCTGCCTGCCTGCCTGCCTGCCTGCCTGCCTGCCTGCCTATCAATCGTCTTCTTTTTAGTACGGATGTGCTCTCGCTTTATTGTCCATGCTCTGGGCACACGTGGTCTCTTTTCAAACTTCTATGATTATTATTATTGTAGGCGTCATCTCACGTGTCGAGGTGATCTCGAACTTTTAGGCTCCAGAGATCCTCCCGCATCGGCCTCCCGGAGTGCTGTGATGACACGCGTGGGCACGGTACGCTCTGGTCGTGTTTGTCGTGGGTCGGTTCTTTCCGTTTTTAATACGGGGACTGCGAACGAAGAAAATTTTCAGACGCATCTCACCGATCCGCCTTTTCGTTCTTTCTTTTTATTCTCTTTAGACGGAGTTTCACTCTTGTCGCCCAGGGTGGAGTACGATGGCGGCTCTCGGCTCACCGCACCCTCCGCCTCCCAGGTTCAAGTGATTCTCCTGCCTCAGCCTTCCCGAGTAGCTGGAATGACAGAGATGAGCCATCGTGCCCGGCTAATTTTTCTATTTTTAGTACAGATGGGGTTTCTCCATCTTGGTCAGGCTGGTCTTCAACTTCCGACCGTTGGAGAATCTTAACTTTCTTGGTGGTGGTTGTTTTCCTTTTTCTTTTTTTTTCTTTTCTTTTCTTTCCTTCTCCTCCCCCCCCCACCCCCCCTTGTCGTCCTCCTCCTCCTCCTCCTCCTCCTCCTCCTCCTCCTCTTTCATTTCTTTCAGCTGGGCTCTCCTACTTGTGTTGCTCTGTTGCTCACGCTGGTCTCAAACTCCTGGCCTTGACGCTTCTCCCGTCACATCCGCCGTCTGGTTGTTGAAATGAGCATCTCTCGTAAAATGGAAAAGATGAAAGAAATAAACACGAAGACGGAAAGCACGGTGTGAACGTTTCTCTTGCCGTCTCCCGGGGTGTACCTTGGACCCGGAAACACGGAGGGAGCTTGGCTGAGTGGGTTTTCGGTGCCGAAACCTCCCGAGGGCCTCCTTCCCTCTCCCCCTTGTCCCCGCTTCTCCCCCAGCCGAGGCTCCCACCGCCGCCCTGGCATTTTCCATAGGAGAGGTATGGGAGAGGACTGACACGCCTTCCAGATCTATATCCTGCCGGACGTCTCTGGCTCGGCGTGCCCCACCGGCTACCTGCCACCTTCCAGGGAGCTCTGAGGCGGATGCGACCCCCACCCCCCCGTCACGTCCCGCTACCCTCCCCCAGCTGGCCTTTGCCGGGCGACCCCAGGGGAACCGCGTTGATGCTGCCTTCGGATCCTCCGGCGAAGACTTCCACCGGATGCCCCGGGTGGGCCGGTTGGGATCAGACTGGACCACCCCGGACCGTGCTGTTCTTGGGGGTGGGTTGACGTACAGGGTGGACTGGCAGCCCCAGCATTGTAAAGGGTGCGTGGGTATGGAAATGTCACCTAGGATGCCCTCCTTCCCTTCGGTCTGCCTTCAGCTGCCTCAGGCGTGAAGACAACTTCCCATCGGAACCTCTTCTCTTCCCTTTCTCCAGCACACAGATGAGACGCACGAGAGGGAGAAACAGCTCAATAGATACCGCTGACCTTCATTTGTGGAATCCTCAGTCATCGACACACAAGACAGGTGACTAGGCAGGGACACAGATCAAACACTATTTCCGGGTCCTCGTGGTGGGATTGGTCTCTCTCTCTCTCTCTCTCTCGCACGCGCACGCGCGCACACACACACACAATTTCCATATCTAGTTCACAGAGCACACTCACTTCCCCTTTTCACAGTACGCAGGCTGAGTAAAACCCGCCCCACCCTCCACCCGTTGGCTGACGAAACCCCTTCTCTACAATTTATGAAAAAGATGATCTGGGCCGGGCACGCTAGCTCACGCCTGTCACTCCGGCACTTTGGGAGGCCGAGGCGGGTGGATCGCTTGGGGCCGGGAGTTCGAGACCAGGCTGGCCGACGTGGCGAAACCCCGTCTCTCTGAAAAATAGAACGATTAGCCGGGCCTGGTGGCGTGGGCTTGGAATCACGACCGCTCGGGAGACTGGGGCGGGCGACTTGTTCCAACCGGGGAGGCCGAGGTTGCGATGAGCTGAGATCGTGCCGTGGCGATGCGGCCTGGATGACGGAGCGAGACCCCGTCTCGAGAGAATCATGATGTTATTATAAGATGAGTTGTGCGCGGTGATGGCCGCCTGTAGTCGCGGCTACTCGGGAGGCTGAGACGAGGAGAAGATCACTTGAGGCCCCACAGGTCGAGGCTTCGGTCGGCCGTGACCCACTGTATCCTGGGCAGTCACCGGTCAAGGAGATATGCCCCTTCCCCATTTGCTTTTCTTTTCTTCCCTTCTCTTTTCTTCTTTTTGCTTCTCTTTTCTTTCTTTCTTTCTTTCTTTCTTTCTTTCTTTCTTTCTTTCTTTTTCTCTCTTCCCCTCTTTCTTTCCTGCCTTCCTGCCTTTCTTCTTTTCTTCTTTCCTCCCTTCCTCCCTTCCTTCTTTCCTCCCGCCTCAGCCTCCCAAAGTGCTGGGATGACTGGCGTGAGGCACCATGCCTGCTTGGCCCAAAGAGACCCTCTTGGAAAGTGAGACGCAGAGAGCGCCTTCCAGTGATCTCATTGACTGATTTAGAGACGGCATCTCGCTCCGTCACCCCGGCAGTGGTGCCGTCGTAACTCACTCCCTGCAGCGTGGACGCTCCTGGACTCGAGCGATCCTTCCACCTCAGCCTGCAGAGTACAGAGCCTGGGACCGCGGGCACGCGCCACTGTGCCCACACCGTTTTTAATTGTTTTTTTTTCCCCCGAGACAGAGTTTCACTCTCGTGGCCTAGACTGCAGTGCGGTGGCGCGATCTTGGCTCACCGCAACCTCTGCCTCCCGGTTTCAAGCGATTCTCCTGCATCGGCCTCCTGAGTAGCCGGGATTGCGGGCATGCGCTGCCACGTCTGGCTGATTTCGTATTTTTAGTGGAGACGGGGCTTCTCCATGTCGATCGGGCTGGTTTCGAACTCCCGACCTCAGGTGATCCGCCCTCCCCGGCCTCCGGAAGTGCTGGGATGACAGGCGTGAGCCACCGCGCCCGGCCTTCATTTTTAAATGTTTTCCCACAGACGGGGTCTCATCATTTCTTTGCAACCCTCCTGCCCGGCGTCTCAAAGTGCTGGCGTGACGGGCGTGAGCCACTGCGCCTGGACTCCGGGGAATGATTCACGACCACCATCGCTCTACTGATCCTTTCTTTCTTTCTTTCTTTCTTTCTTTCTTTCTTTCTTTCTTTCTTTCTTTCATTTATTGATGAATTATCTTATGATTTATTTGTGTACTTATTTTCAGACGGAGTCTCGCTCTGGGCGGGGCGGGGCGAGGCGAGGCGAGGCACAGCGCATCGCTTTGGAAGCCGCGGCAACGCCTTTCAAAGCCCCATTCGTATGCACAGAGCCTTATTCCCTTCCTGGAGTTGGAGCTGATGCCTTCCGTAGCCTTGGGCTTCTCTCCATTCGGAAGCTTTGACAGGCGCAACCCCACCCAGAGGCTGGCTGCGGCTGAGGATTAGGGGGTGTGTTGGGGCTGAAAACTGGGTCCCCTATTTTTGATACCTCAGCCGACACATCCCCCGACCGCCATCGCTTGCTCGCCCTCTGAGATCCCCCGCCTCCACCGCCTTGCAGGCTCATCTCTTACTTTCATTTCTTCCTTTCTTGCGTTTGAGGAGGGGGTGCGGGAATGAGGGTGTGTGTGGGGAGGGGGTGCGGGGTGGGGACGGAGGGGAGCGTCCTAAGGGTCGATTTAGTGTCATGCCTCTTTCACCACCACCACCACCGAAGATGACAGCAAGGATCGGCTAAATACCGCGTGTTCTCATCTAGAAGTGGGAACTTACAAATGACAGTTCTTGCATGGGCAGAACGAGGGGGACCGGGGACGCGGAAGCCTGCTTGAGGGAGGAGGGGTGGAAGGAGAGACAGCTTCAGGAAAAAACAAAACACGAATACTGTCGGACACAGCACTGACTACCCGGGTGATGAAATCATCTGCACACTGAACACCCCCGTCACAAGTTTACCTATGTCACAATCTTGCACATGTATGCTTGAACGACAAATAAAAGTTAGGGGGGAGAGAGGAGAGAGAGAGAGAGAGAGAGACAGAGAGAGACAGAGAGAGAGAGAGAGAGAGAGGAGGGAGAGAGAAAACGAAACACCACCTCCTTGACCTGAGTCAGGGGGTTTCTGGCCTTTTGGGAGAACGTTGAGCGACAATGCAGTATTTGGGCCCGTTCTTTTTTCTTCTTCTTCTTCTTTTCTTTCTTTTTTTTTTTTGGACTGAGTCTCTCTCGCTCTGTCACCCAGGCTGCGGTGCGGTGGCGCTCTCTCGGCTCACTGAAACCTCTGCTTCCCGGGTTCCAGTGATTCTTCTTCGGTAGCTGGGATTACAGGCGCACACCATGACGGCCGGCTCATATTCCTATTTTCAGTAGAGACGGGGTTTCTCCACGTTGGCCACGCTGGTCTCGAACTCCTGACCTCAAATGATCCGCCTTCCTGGGCCTCCCAAAGTGCTGGAAACGACAGGCCTGAGCCGCCGGGATTTCAGCCTTTAAAAGCGCGGGCCCTGCCACCTTTCGCTGCGGCCCTTACGCTCAGAATGACGTGTCCTCTCTGCCATAGGTTGACTCCTTGAGTCCCCTAGGCCATTGCACTGTAGCCTGGGCAGCAAGAGCCAAACTCCGTCCCCCCACCTCCCCGTGCACATAATAACTAACTAACTAACTAACAAACTAACTAACTAAACTAACTAAATAAATAAAATCTCTACACGTCACCTCTAAGTGTGTGTTCCCGTGAGGAGTGATTTCTAAGAAATGGCACTGTACACTAAACGCAGTGGCTCACGTCTGTCATCCCGAGGTCAGGAGTTCGAGACCAGCCCGGCCAACGTGGTGAAACCCCGTCTCTACTGAAAATACGAAATTGAGTCAGGCGCCGTGGGGCAGGCACCTGTAACCCCAGCTACTCAGGAGGCTGGGGCGGAAGAATTGCTTGAACCTGGCAGGCGGAGGTTGCAGTGACCCAAGATCGCACCACTGCACTACAGCCTTGGCGACAGAGTGAGACCCGGTCTCCAGATAAATACGTACATAAATAAATACATACATACATACATACATACACACACACACACACACACACACACACACATACATACATACATACATACATACATACAGATATACAAGAAAGAAAAAAAGAAAAGAAAAGAAAGAGAAAATGAAAGAAAAGGCACTGTATTGCTACTGGGCTAGGGCCTTCTCTCTGTCTGTTTCTCTCTGTTCGTCTCTGTCTTTCTCTCTGTGTCTCTTTCTCTGTCTGTCTGTCTCTTTCTTTCTCTCTGTCTCTGTCTCTGTCTTTGTCTCTCTCTCTCCCTCTCTGCCTGTCTCACTGTGTCTGTCTTCTGTCTTACTCTCTTTCTCTCCCCGTCTGTCTCTCTCTCTCTCCCTCCCTGTCTGTTTCTCTCTCTCTCTTTCTGTCTGTTTCTGTCTCTCTCTGTCTGTCTATGTCTTTCTCTGTCTGTCTCTTTCTCTGTCTGTCTGCCTCTCTCTTTTTCTGTGTCTCTCTGTCGGTCTCTCTCTCTCTCTCTCTCTCTCTCTTTCTCTGTCTGTCTGTCTCTCTCTCTCTCTGTGCCTATCTTCTGTCTTACTCTCTTTCTCTGCCTGTCTGTCTGTCTCTCCCTCCCTTTCTGTTTCTCTCTCTCTCTCCCCCTCTCCCTGTCTGTTTCTCTCTGTCTCTCTCTCTTTCTGTCTGTTTCTCACTGTCTCTCTCTGTCCATCTCTCTCTCTCTCTGTCTGTCTCTTTCGTTCTCTCTGTCTGTCTCTCTCTCTCTCTCTCTCTCTGTCTCTCACTCTCTGTGTGTATCTTCTGTCTTACTCTCCTTCTCTGCCTGTCCGTCTGTCTGTCTGTCTGTCTGTCTCTCTCTCCCTTTCTGTCTCTCTCTCTCTCTCTCTGTCCCTCTCTCTTTCTGTCTGTTCCTCTCTCTCTCTCTGTCTCTGTCTTTCTCTGTCTGTCTGCCTCTCTCTTTCTTTCTCTTTCTGTGTCTCTCTGTCTCTCTCTCTGTGCCTATCTTCTGTCTTACTCTCTTTCTCTGCCTGCCTGTCTGTCTGTCTGTCTGTCTCTCTCTGTCTCTCTCCCTGCCTTTCTGTTTCTCTCTCTCTCTCCCTCTCTCGCTCTCTCTGTCTTTCTCTCTTTCTCTCTGTTTCTCTGTCTCTCTGTGTCCGTCTCTGTCTTTTTCTGTCTGTCTGCCTCTCTCTTTCTTTCTGTCTGTCTCTGTCTCTCTCTCTCTGTCTCTCTCTCTCTCTCTCTCTCTCTCTGCTTGTCTCTCTCACTGTGTCTGTCCTCTGTCTTACTCTCCTTCTCTGCCTGTCCGTCTGTCTATCTGTCTCTCTCTCTCTCTCCCTCCCTTTCTGTTTCTCTCTCGCTCTCTCTCTCTCTCTCTGCCTTTTTTCTCTCTTTCTCTCTCTGTCTGTCTCTCTCTCTCTCTGTCTGTCTGTCTCCTTCTCTCTGTCTCTGTCTCTGTCTCTCTCTCTCTCTGTCTCTCTCTCTCTGCCTGTCTCACTGTGTCTGTCTTCTGTCTTATTCTCTTTCTCTGTCTGTGTGTCTCTCTCTCTCCCTTCCTGTCTCTTTCTCTCTCTCTCTCTTTCTGTTTCTCTCTGCCTGTCTCCGTCTTTCTCTGTCTGTCTGCCTCTCTCTTTCTTTTTCTGCGTCTCTCTGTCTCTCTCTCTGTGCCTATCTTCCGTCTTACTCTGTTTCTCTGCCTGCCTGTCTGTCTGTCTCTCTCTCTCTCTCTCTGTCTCTCTCTCTTTCTGTCTGTTTCTCTCTGTCTCTCTGTCCATCTCTGTCTTTCTCTGTCTGTCTCTCTCTTTCTCCCTGTCTCTGTCTCTGCCTCTCTCTCTCTCTGTCTCTCTCTCTTTCTATCTGTTTCTCTCTGTCTCTCTGTCCGTCTCTGTCTTTCTCTGTCTGTCTCTCTCTTTCTCCTGTCTCTGTCTCTGCCTCTCTCTCTCTCTCTGTCTGTCTCTCTCACTGTGTGTGTCTGTCTTCTGTCTTACTCTCCTTCTCTGCCTGTCCATCTGTCTGTCTGTCTCTCCCTCTCTCTCCCTCCCTTTCTGTTTCTCTCTCTCTCTCTCTCTTTCTGTCTGTTTCTCTCTTTCTCTCTCTGTCTGTCTCTGTCTTTCTCTGTCTCTTTCTCTGTCTGTCTGTCTCTCTCTTTCTTTTTCTCTGTCTCTCTGTCTCTCTCTGTGCCTGTCTCTCTGTCTGTGCCTATCTTCTGTCTTACTCTCTTTCTCTGGCTGACTGCCTGTCTCTCTCTCTCTGCCTGTCTCCGTCCCTCCCTCCCTGTCTGTCTGTTTCTCTCTCTGTCCATTTCTGTCTGTCTCTTTCTCTTTCTCTCTCTTTCTTTCTCTCTGTCTCTCTCTGTCTCTCTCTCTCTCTCTCTCTGCCTTTCTCTCTCACTGTGTCGGTCTTCTGTCTTACTCTCTTTCTCTGCCTGCCTGTCTGTCTGTCTGTCTGTCTGTCTGTCTGTCTGTCTCTCTCCCTCCATGTCTCTCTCTCTCTCACACTCACTCTCTCTCCGTCTCTCTCTCTTTCTGTCTGTTTCTCTCTGTCTCTGTCTTTCTGTCTGTCTGTCTCTCTCTCTGTTTGTCTTTCTCCCTCCCTGTCTGTTTCTCTCTCTCTCTCTCTCTCTCTGTCTGTCTGTTTCACTCTATCTCTCGCTGTCCATCTCTGTCTTTCTATGTCTGTCTCTTTCTCTGTCAGTCTGTCAGACACCCCCGTGCCGGGTAGGGCCCTGCCCCTCCCATGAAAGTGAGAAGCGCGTGCTTCGGTGCTTAGAGAGGCCGAGAGGAATCTAGACAGGCGGGCCTTGCTGGGCTTCCCCACTCGGTGTATGATTTCGGGAGGTCGAGGCCGGGTCCCCGCTTGGATGCGAGGGGCATTTTCAGACTTTTCTCTCGGCCACGTGTGGCGTCCGTACTTCTCCTATTTCCCCGATAAGCTCCTCGACTTCAACATAAACGGCGTCCTAAGGGTCGATTTAGTGTCATGCCTCTTTCACCGCCACCACCGAAGATGAAAGCAAAGATCGGCTAAATACCGCGTGTTCTCATCTAGAAGTGGGAACTTACAGATGACAGTTCTTGCATGGGCAGAACGAGGGGGACCGGGGACGCGGAAGCCTGCTTGAGGGAGGAGGGGTGGAAGGAGAGACAGCTTCAGGAAGAAAACAAAACACGAATACTGTCGGACACAGCACTGACTACCCGGGTGATGAAATCATCTGCACACTGAACACCCCCGTCACAACTTTACCTATGTCACAATCTTGCTCATGTATGCTTGAAGGACAAATAAAAGTTCGGGGGGAGAAGAGAGGAGAGAGAGAGAGAGAGAGAGATGGGGAGGGGGGGGGAGAGAGAGAGAGAGAGAGAGAGAGAGAGAGAGAGAGAGAGAGAGAGAGAGAGAGAAGTAAAACCAAACACCACCTCCTTGACCTGAGTCGGAGGTTTCTGGCCTTTTGGGAGAACGTTGAGCGACAATGCAGTATTTGGGCCCGTTCTTTTTTTTCTTCTTCTTCTTTTCTTTCTTTTTTTTGGACTGAGTCTCTCTCGCTCTGTCACCCAGGCTGCGGTGCGGTGGCGCTCTCTCGGCTCACTGAAACCTCTGCTTCCCGGGTTCCAGTGATTCTTCTTCGGTAGCTGGGATTACAGGTGCGCACCATGACGGCCGGCTCATCGTTCTATTTTTAGTAGAGACGGGGTTTCTCCACGTTGGCCACGCTGGTCTCGAACTCCTGACCACAAATGATCCGCCTTCCTGGGCCTCCCAAAGTGCTGGGACGACAGGCCTGAGCCGCCGGGATTTCAGCCTTTAAAAGCGCGGGCCCTGCCACCTTTCGCTGCGGCCCTTACGCTCAGAATGACGTGTCCTCTTTGCCATAGGTTGACTCCTTGAGTCCCCTAGGCCATTGCACTGTAGCCTGGGCAGCAAGAGCCAAACTCCGTCTCCTCACCTCCCCGCGCACATAATAACTAACTAACTAACTAAAATCTCTACACGTCACCCATAAGTGTGTGTTCCCGTGAGGAGTGATTTCTAAGAAATGGCACTGTACACTGAACGCAGTGGCTCACGTCTGTCATCCCGAGGTCAGGAGTTCGAGACCAGCCCGGCCAACGTGGTGAAACCCCGGTCTCTACTGAAAATACGAAATTGAGTCAGGCGCCGTGGGGCAGGCACCTGTAACCCCAGCTACTCGGGAGGCTGAGGCGGAAGAATTGCTTGAACCTGGCAGGCGGAGGTTGCAGTGACCCAAGATCGTGCCACTGCACTACAGCCTGGGTGACAGAGTGAGACCCGGTCTCCAGATAAATACATACATACATACATACATACATACATACATACATACATACATACATAAAAGAAAGACAAAAAGAAAAGAAAGAGAAAATGAAAGAAAAGGCACTGTATCGCTACTGGGCTAGGACCTTCTCTCTGTCTGTTTCTCTCTGTCTCTCTCTGTTCATCTCTGTCTTTCTCTCTGTGTCTCTTTCTCTGTCTGTCTGTCTGTCTCTTTCTTTCTTTCTGTCTCTGTCTTTGTCCCTCTCTCTCCCTCTCTGCCTGTCTCACTGTGTCTGTCTTCTATCTTACTCTCTTTCTCTCCCCGTCTGTCTCTCTCTCACTCCCTCCCTGTCTGTTTCTCTCTCTCTCTTTCTGTCTGTTTCTGTCTCTCTCTGTCTGCCTCTCTCTTTCTCTATCTGTCTCTTTCTCTGTCTGTCTGCCCCTCTCTTTCTTTTTCTGTGTCTCTCTGTCTGTCTCTCTCTCTCTCTGTGCCTATCTTCTGTCTTACTCTCTTTCTCTGCCTGTCTGTCTGTCTCTCTCTGTCTCTCCCTCCCTTTCTGCTTCTCTCTCTCTCTCTCTCCCCCCTCCCTGTCTGTTTCTCTCTGTCTCCCTCTCTTTCTGTCTGTTTCTCACTGTCTCTCTCTGTCTGTTTCATTCTCTCTGTCTCTGTCTCTGTCTCTCTCTCTCTCTGTCTCTCCCTCTCTGTGTGTATCTTTTGTCTTACTCTCCTTCTCTGCCTGTCCGTCTGTCTGTCTGTCTCTCTCTCTCCCTGTCCCTCTCTCTTTCTGTCTGTTTCTCTCTCTCTCTCTCTCTCTCTGTCTCTGTCTTTCTCTGTCTGTCCCTTTCTCTGTCTGTCTGCCTCTCTCTTTCTCTTTCTGTGTCTCTCTGTCTCTCTCTCTGTGCCTATCTTCTGTCTTACTCTCTTTCTCTGCCTGTCTATCTGTCTGTCTCTCTCCCTGCCTTTCTGTTTCTCTCTCTCTCCCTCTCTCGCTCTCTCTGTCTTTCTCTCTTTCTCTCTGTTTCTCTGTCTCTCTCTGTCCATCTCTGTCTTTTTCTGTCTGTCTGTCTCTCTCTTTCTTTCTGTCTGTCTCTGTCTCTGTCTCTGTCTCTCTCTCTCTCTCTCCTTGTCTCTCTCACTGTGTCTGTCTTCTGTCTTACTCTCCTTCTCTGCCTGTCCATCTGTCTGTCTCTCTCTCTCTCTCCCTCCCTTTCTGTTTCTCTCTCGCTAGCTCTCTCTCTCTCTGCCTGTTTCTCTCTTTCTCTCTCTGTCTTTCTCTGTCTGTCTCTTTCTCTGTCTGTCTGTCTCTTTCTCTCTGTCTCTGTCTCTCTCTCTCTCTCTGCCTCTCTCACTGTGTCTGTCTTCTGTCTTATTCTCTTTCTCTCTCTGTCTCTCTCTCTCTCTCCCTTCCTGTCTGTTTCTCTCTCTCTCTTTATGCCTGTTTCTCTCTGTCTGTCTCTGTCTTTCTCTGTCTGTCTGCCTCTCTCTTTCTTTTTCTGCGTCTCTCTGTCTCTCTCTCTCTCTCTCTGTTCCTATCTTCTGTCTTACTCTGTTTCCTTGCCTGCCTGCCTGCCTGTCTGTCTGTCTGTGTCTCTCTCTCTCTCTCTGTCTCTCTCCCTCCCTTTCTCTTTCTCTCTCTCTCTCTCTCTTTCTGTGTGTTTCTCTCTGTCTCTCTGTCCATCTCTGTCTTTCTATGTCTGTCTCTCTCTTTCTCTCTGTCTCTGTCTCTGCCTCTCTCTCTCTCTGTCTGTCTCTCTCACTGTGTGTGTCTGTCTTCTGTCTTACTCTCCTTCTCTGCCTGTCCGTCTGTCTGTCTGTCTCTCCCTCTCTCTCCCTCCCTTTCTGTTTCTCTCTCTCTCTCTCTCTCTCTCTCTCTTTCTGTCTGTTTCTCTCTTTCTCTCTCTGTCTGTCTCTTTCTCTGTCTGTCTGTCTCTCTCTTTCTTTTTCTCTGTCTCTCTGTCTCTCTCTGTGTCTGTCTCTCTGTCTGTGCCTATCTTCTGTCTTACTCTCTTTCTCTGGCTGTCTGCCTGTCTCTCTCTCTCTGCCTGTCTCCGTCCCTCCCTCCCTCCCTGTCTGTCTGTTTCTCTCTCTGTCTCTGTCTCTCTGTCCATCTCTGTCTGTCTCTTTCTCTTTCTCTCTCTCTGTCTCTGTCTCTCTCTCTCTCTGCCTGTCTCTCTCACTGTGTCTGTCTTCTGTCTTACTCTCTTTCTCTGCCTGCCTGTCTGTCTGTCTGTCTCTCTCCCTCCACGTCTGTCTCTCTCTCTCTCTCTCTCACTCACTCTCTCTCCGTCTCTCTCTCTCTTTCTGTCTGTTTCTCTCTCTGTCTGTCTCTCTCCCTCCATATCTCTCTCTCTCTCTCTCACTCACTCTCTCTCCATCTCTCTCTCTCTCTTTCTGTCTGTTTCTCTCTCTGTCTGTCTGTCTGTCTGTCTGTCTCTCTCTCTCTCTGTCTTTCTCCCTCCCTGTCTGTCTGTCTGTCTCTCTCTCTCTGTCTCTGTCTCTCTCTCTTTCTCTTTCTGTCTGTTTCTCTCTATCTCTCGCTGTCCATCTCTGTCTTTCTATGTCTGTCTCTTTCTCTGTCAGTCTGTCAGACACCCCCGTGCCGGGTAGGGCCCTGCCCCTTCCACGAGAGTGAGAAGCGCGTGCTTCGGTGCTTAGAGAGGCCGAGAGGAATCTAGACAGGCGGGCCTTGCTGGGCTTCCCCACTCGGTGTACGATTTCGGGAGGTCGAGGCCGGGTCCCCGCTTGGATGCGAGGGGCATTTTCAGACTTTTCTCTCGGTCACGTGTGGCGTCCGTACTTCTCCTATTTCCCCGATAAGCTCCTCGACTTCAACATAAACTGTGAAGGCCGGACGCAACACGGCGAAACCCCGTCTCTACTAAAAATACAAAGCTGAGTCGGGAGCGGTGGGGCAGGCCCCTGTAATGCCAGCTCCTCGGGAGGCTGAGGCGGGAGAATCGCTTGAACCAAGGAGGCGGAGGCTGCAGGGAGCCGAGATCGCGCCACTGCACTACGGCCCAGGCTGTAGAGTGAGTGAGACTCGGTCTCTAAATAAATAAGGAAATTAATTAATTCATTAATTCTTTTCCCTGCTGACGGACATTTGCAGGCAGGCATCGGTTGTCTTCGGGCATCACCTAGCGGCCACTGTTATTGAAAGTCGACGTGACACGGAGGGAGGTCTCGCCGACTTCACCGAGCCTGGGGCAACGGGTTTCTCTCTCTCCCTTCTGGAGGCCCCTCCCTCTCTCCCTCGTTGCCTAGGGAACCTCGCCTAGGGAACCTCCGCCCTGGCGGGGGCCCTATTGTTCTTTGATCGGCGCTTTACTTTTCTTTGTGTTTTGGCGCCTAGACTCTTCTACTTGGGCTTTGGGAAGGGTCAGTTTAATTTTCAAGTTGCCCCCCGGCTCCCCCCACTACCCACGTCCCTTCACCTTAATTTAGTGAGTCGGTTAGGTGGGTTTCCCCCAAACACCCCCCCCCCCCCGCCTCCCAACACCCTGCTTGGAAACCTTCCAGAGCCACCCCGGTGTGCCTCCGTCTTCTCTCCCCTTCCCCCACCCCTTGCCGGCGATCTCATTCTTGCCAGGCTGACATTTGCATCGGTGGGCGTCAGGCCTCACTCGGGGGCCACCGTTTTTGAAGATGGGGGCGGCACGGTCCCACTTCCCCGGAGGCAGCTTGGGCCGATGGCATAGCCCCTTGACCCGCGTGGGCAAGCGGGCGGGTCTGCAGTTGTGAGGCTTTTCCCCCCGCTGCTTCCCGCCTCAGGCCTCCCTCCCTAGGAAAGCTTCACCCTGGCTGGGTCTCGGTCACCTTTTATCACGATGTTTTAGTTTCTCCGCCCTCCGGCCAGCAGAGTTTCACAATGCGAAGGGCGCCACGGCTCTAGTCTGGGCCTTCTCAGTACTTGCCCAAAATAGAAACGCTTTCTGAAAACTAATAACTTTGCTCACTTAAGATTTCCAGGGACGGCGCCTTGGCCCGTGTTTGTTGGCTTGTTTTGTTTCGTTCTGTTTTGTTTTGTTCGTGTTTTTCCTTTCTCGTATGTCTTTCTTTTCAGGTGAAGTAGAAATCCCCAGTTTTCAGGAAGACGTCTATTTTCCCCAAGACACGTTAGCTGCCGTTTTTTCCTGTTGTGAACTAGTGCTTTTGTGACTCTCTCAACGTGCAGTGAGAGCCGGTTGATGTTTACTATCCTTCATCATGACATCTTATTTTCTAGAAATCCGTAGGCGAATGCTGCTGCTGCTCTTGTTGCTGTTGTTGTTGTTGTTGTTGTTGTCGTCGTTGCTGTTGTCGTTGTCGTTGTTGTTGTCGTTGTCGTTGTTTTCAAAGTATACCCCGGCCACCGTTTATGGGATCAAAAGCATTATAAAATATGTGTGATTATTTCTTGAGCACGCCCTTCCTCCCCCTCTCTCTGTCTCTCTGTCTGTCTCTGTCTCTCTCTTTCTCTGTCTGTCTTCTCTCTCTCTCTCTCTCTGTGTCTCTCTCTCTCTGCCTGTCTGTTTCTCTCTCTCTGCCTCTCTCTCTCTCTCTCTCTCTGCCTGTCTCTCTCACTGTGTCTGTCTTCTGTCTTACTCCCTTTCTCTGTCTGTCTGTCGGTCTCTCTCTCTCTCTCTCTCTCTCTCCCTGTCTGTATGTTTCTCTCTGTCTCTGTCTCTCTCTCTCTTTCTGTTTCTCTCTCTCCGTCTCTGTCTTTCTCTGACTGTCTCTCTCTTTCCTTCTCTCTGTCTCTCTCTGCCTGTCTCTCTCACTCTGTCTTCTGTCTTACTCTCTCTCTCTGCCTGCCTGTCTCTCTCACTCTCTCTCTCTGTGTGTCTCTCTCTCTCTTTCTGTTTCTCTCTGTCTCTCTGTCCGTCTCTGTCTTTCTCTGTCTGTCTCTTTGTCTGTCTGTCTTTGTCTTTCCTTCTCTCTGTCTCTGTCTCTCTCACTGTGTCTGTCTTCTGTCTTAGTCTCTCTCTCTCTCTCTCTCCCTGTCTGTCTGTCTCTCTCTCTCTCTCCCCCTGTCTGTTTCTCTCTCTCTCTCTCTCTCTCTCTCTCTGTCTTTGTCTTTCTTTCTGTCTCTGTCTCTCTCTCTCTCTCTGTGTGTCTGTCTTCTGTCTTACTGTCTTTCTCTGCCTGTCTGTCTGTCTGTCTCTCTCTGTCTGTCTCTCTCTCTCTCTCCCCCCTGTCGGCTGTTTCTCTGTCTCTGTCTGTGTCTCTCTTTCTGTCTGTTTCTCTCTGTCTGTCTTTCTCTCTCTGTCTCTTTCTCTCTGTCTCTCTGTCTGTCTCTGTCTCTCTCTCTGTCTCTCTCTCTCTGTGGGGGTGTGTGTGTGTGTGTGTATGTGTGTGTGTGTGTGTGTGTGTGTGTGTCTGCCTTCTGTCTTACTCTCTTTCTCTGCCTGTCTGTCTGCCTGTCTGTTTGTCTCTCTCTCTCTGCCTGTCTCTCTCCCTTCCTGTCTGTTTCTCTCTTTCTGTTTCTCTCTGTCTCTGTCCATCTCTGTCTTTCTCCGTCTGTCTCTTTATCTGTCTCTCTCCGTCTGTCTCTTTATCTGTCTCTCTCTCTCTTTCTGTCTTTCTCTCTCTGTGTATCGTTGTCTCTCTCTGTCTGTCTCTGTCTCTGTCTCTCTGTCTCTCTCTCTCTCTCTCTCTCTGTCTGTCTGTCCGTCTGTCTGTCTCGGTCTCTGGCTCTCGCTATCTCCCGCCCTCTCTTTTTTTGCAAAAGAAGCTCAAGTACATCTAATCTCATCCCTTACCAAGGCCTGAATTCTTCACTTCTGACATCCCAGATTTGATCTCCCTACAGAATGCTGTACAGAACTGGCGAGTTGATTTCTGGACTTGGATACCTCATAGAAACTACATATGAATAAAGATCCAATCCTAAAATCTGGGGTGGCTTCTCCCTCGACTGTCTCGAAAAATCGTACCTCTGTTCCCCTAGGATGCCGGAAGAGTTTTCTCAATGTGCATCTGCCCGTGTCCTAAGTGATCTGTGACCGAGCCCTGTCCGTTCTGTCTCAAATATGTACGTGCAAACACTTCTCTCCATTTCCACAACTACCCACGGCCCCTTGTGGAACCACTGGCTCTTTGAAAAAAATCCCAGAAGTGGTTTTGGCTTTTTGGCTAGGAGGCCTAAGCCTGCTGAGAACTTTCCTGCCCAGGATCCTGTGTGACCAAAAGTGCCTCTGCTGGGAGCTGGGATCCTCGGGACCATGCTTGCTAGCGCTGGATGAGTCTCTGGAAGGACGCACGGGACTCCGCAAAGCTGACCTGTCCCACCGAGGTCAAATGGATACCTCTGCATTGGCCCGAGGCCTCCGAAGTACATCACCGTCACCAACCGTCACCGTCAGCATCCTTGTGAGCCTGCCCAAGGCCCCGCCTCCGGGGAGACTCTTGGGAGCCCGGCCTTCGTCGGCTAAAGTCCAAAGGGATGGTGACTTCCACCCACAAGGTCCCCACTGAACGGCGAAGATGTGGAGCGTAGGTCAGAGAGGGGACCAGGAGGGGAGACGTCCCGACAGGCGATGAGTTCCCAAGGCTCTGGCCACCCCACCCACGCCCCACGCCCCACGTCCCGGGCACCCGCGGGACACCGCCGCTTTATCCCCTCCTCTGTCCACAGCCGGCCCCACCCCACCACGCAACCCACGCACACACGCTGGAGGTTCCAAAACCACACGGTGTGACTAGAGCCTGACGGAGCGAGAGCCCATTTCACGAGGTGGGAGGGGTGGGGGTGGGGTGGGTTGGGGGTTGTGGGGTCTGTGGCGAGCCCGATTCTCCCTCTTGGGTGGCTACAGGCTAGAAATGAATATCGCTTCTTGGGCGGAGGGGCTTCCTTAGGCCATCACCGCTTGCGGGACTACCTCTCAAACCCTCCCTTGAGGCCACAAAATAGATTCCACCCCACCCATCGACGTTTCCCCCGGGTGCTGGATGTATCCTGTCAAGAGACCTGAGCCTGACACCGTCGAATTAAACACCTTGACTGGCTTTGTGTGTTTGTTTGTTTCTGAGATGGAGTCTTGCTCTGTCCCCCAGGCTGGAGTGCAGTGGCGTGATCTCAGCTCACTGGAACCTCTGCCTCCTGGGTTCAAGTGATTCTCCTGTCTCAGCGCCACCATGGCCGGCTCATTTTTTTTTTTTTTTTTTTTTTTTTTTTTGGTAGACACGGGGTTTCACCCTCTTTCATTGGTTTTCACTGGAGATTCTAGATTCGAGCCACACCTCATTCCGTGCCACAGAGAGACTTCTTTTTTTTTTTTTTTTTAAGCGCAACGCAACATGTCTGCCTTATTTGAGTGGCTTCCTATATCATTATAATTGTGTTATAGATGAAGAAACGGTATTAAACACTGTGCTAATGATAGTGAAAGTGAAGACAAAAGAAAGGCTATCTATTTTGTGGTTAGAATAAAGTTGCTCAGTATTTAGAGCTACCTAAATACGTCAGCATTTACACTCTTCCTAGTAAAAGCTGGCCAATCTGAATAATCCTCCTTTAAACAAACACAATTTTTGATAGGGTTAAGATTTTTTTAAGAATGCGACTCCTGCAAAATAGCTGAACAGACGATACACATTTAAAAAAATAACAACACAAGGATCAACCAGACTTGGGAAAAAATCGAAAACCACACAAGTCTTATGAAGAACTGAGTTCTTAAAATAGGACGGAGAACGTAGCTATCGGAAGAGAAGGCAGTATTGGCAAGTTGATTGTTACGTTGGTCAGCAGTAGCTGGCACTATCTTTTTGGCCATCTTTCGGGCAATGTAACTACTACAGCAAAATGAGATACGATCCATTAAACAACATATTCGCAAATCAAAAAGTGTTTCAGTAATATAATGCTTCAGATTTAGAAGCAAATCAAATGATAGAACTCCACTGCTGTAATAAGTCACCCCAAAGATCACCGTATCTGACAAAATAACTACCACAGGGTTATGACTTCAGAATCATACTTTCTCTTGATATTTACTTATGTATGTATTTATTTTTTTTAATTTATTTCTCTTGAGACGGCGTCTCGCTCTGTCGCCCAGGCTGGAGTGCGATGGTGTGATCTCGGCTCACTGCAACCGCCACCTCCCTGGGTTCAAGCGATTCTCCTGCCTCAGCCTCCCGAGTAGCTGGGACTACAGGTGCCCGCCACCACGCCCAGCTAATCTTTATACTTTTAATAGAGACGGGGTTTCACCGTGTCGGCCCGGATGGTCTCGATCTCTTGACCTCGTGACCCGCCCGCCTCGGCCTCCCAAAGTGCTGGGATGACAGGCGTGAGCCACTGAGCCCGGCCTTCTCTTGACGTTTAAACTATGAAGTCAGTCCAGAGAAACGCAATAAATGTCAACGGTGAGGATGGTGTTGAGGCAGAAGTAGGACCACACTTTTTCCTATCTTATTCAGTTGATAACAATATGACCTAGGTAGTAATTTCCTATGTGCCTACTTATACACGAGTACAAAAGAGTAAAACAGAGAGACTGCTAAATGAAAGGGTACGTGAAGTTCTTCATAGTAACTCCGTAAACTGGAACACTGTCAAAAAGCAGCAGCTAGTGAATTGTTTCCATGTATTTTTCTATTATCCAATAAGTGAACTATGCTATTCCTTTCCAGTCTCCCAAGCACTTCTTGTCCCCATCACCACTTCGGTGCTCGAAGAAAAAGTAACAAATCAAGGAACACAACTAAAGAAACACACACACAAACCAAAGACAACTACAGCGTCTGCAAAAGTTTGCTAGAAGACTGAAACTGTTGAGTATAAGGATCTGGTATTCTACGATCATGAGTTCACTTCAGAGTTTGTTCAAGACATACGTTTCGTAAGGAAACATCTTAGTTAGAAGTTATTCAGCAGTAGGTACCATCCCTAAGTATTTTTCACCAAATTCGTGACAATAAAGAGCTATCTAACCAGAAAAATTAGCGAGTACCGGCACCATCCATAGGGCTTTGTCTTTACGCTTCATTAGCACTTACCATGCCTTACAATGTCTAGGATTGACCCTGATAGCATTTCGAAAACAAGCTAATGCTTTGTCCAGTTCTTCAGTGAAGACAAGCTCACGCCCTAATGCGCTATAGGCATAAGCATCATTTGGATCCACTTCGAGAGTTCTCTGGAAGAATTGAATCGCAATATCGTGTTCCCGTTGCAGACCGAAACAGTTCCCTGCAGCACACCAGGCCTCTGGCTGGCGAATTTTTATCCATGTCTGTGAAGTCTTTGGACAGAACTGAAAGAGCAACCTCTTTCGGAGGATGCCAAAGTGTTGTAGAGTAGATCTCCATGCCTTCGACTCTGTAATTCTCAATCCTCCTAACCTCTGAGAATTGTCTTTCAGCTTGCGTGGACTCTGAAAGTTTACAATAGGCCCTTCCGATTTGGCACAGTACCCAACCGGTATTGCAGTGGTGAGAAGCTAGATGGCTCAAGATGCTGATAGCTTCTTTGCCGTGGTAAGAACACAAAGCTAAATAACCTTTCCCCCTTTCACGAAGAAGGCTCATCAAGCCTTCCGCTGCTGCTTTTTGTAGATTAAAAGCCTGAATCTGAGGCGCGATTGCGGCTATTTTCCCTTCTGAAATGACGGAAGAGTCCAATTTTGTCACTTCCAGGCTATCACTTATGTTCGGTGGAGTTATTGCTCCTTTATTAGTTTTACTTTTGGTTCTTCTGTTTGGGATTTTAGGTGGAAACTTCATTTTTAATTTTCTCCTATTCTCCTCGGTTGTGGAGCTGTCACTAGTCAAGAGTCGTGAATTTCTTCGAGGCGGTGCATTTGGGGGAGATGCCATAGTGGGGCTCAATACCTGAGGTGTTGCCCTTGTCGGCGGACCAGAACTTTGTGTTTTTGCAAGGACTGGAGTTACCTTTCGGCTCTTTCCCCTCTGCGAGAAGACAGACGGTGTTCCGGTTTGGCCGATTCTGGCAACAGGCTTTTTTGAAGGGGCTCCGGTGGATGGCACGTCAATGACAGACGGTGTCTCATACCAGTGCAGTTTTGTCAATAGGGTCCGTCTCCGGGACTTGGGGTTTCTAATGGCAAAATGCCAACACTTGGGGTTAATGGACTAACAGCTGCTGGTCCTCCTAATAAACTTCGACCAGTTTTTGGTTTATGTTGAACCTGTTTAGATCATATGGAAGTTCCTGTTCCCAGTGGGACAGTATCAGGTGAAAGGACAGCTGAATCGATAGAAGACACTGGGGAGTCTGTATTCAAGGAGTACTTTGAATTGGAAGATTCTAAATTCCATCCGTTTCATTCGACGGTGTCCTGGGGTGTTTCCGTAAGAACGGTCTCGGGCTGTCTGTGACATAAACTAGGACGAGGTCCAAGTGTTGTGGCGCAACACTTGGACAGGCAGTTGCTAAAGCTCTCTAGAGAGGTGAATCAAAATGTTTGGTCAGGATCTGGCTTTTCCCCCCTATTTCACATCATGATTCAAAGGGACACCAGAGGAAAGGATTTCAACGAAGGCTCTTTTGGTCACATTCTGATCCTTTGGTAAGCCGATCTGTCTTGCAATATACATGTCCCGACGATGGAAGGGGAAAGCGAGCTGAATCACCAAACTCAGGAACGATAATATCATCGTGGCTTTTCTGCTTATGAAACACTCCACCCGATAAGATTTGATCCCCTTCTGCAAGCTTGCTGAGATCAACACAACATTTCGCAAGCAGGCATTTGCATTGCGGGGTAGTACAACTGTGTCCTTTCAAGAGTCTATATGTTTTATAGGCCTTTCCTGAGCGGTAAGAACAGGTCGCCAGTAAGAACAAGGCTTCTTCTGAGTGTACTTCTGCATAAAGGCGTTCTGCGGGGGAAACCGCATCTCGGTAGGCATAGTGGTTTAGTGCTTGCCATATAGCAGCCTGGACGGGTCCCTGCAGCACCGCCATCCTCGAGGCTCAGGCCCACTTTCTGCAGTGCCACAGGCACCCCCCCCCCCCCCCCCCATAGCGGCTCCGGCCCGGCCAGCCCCGGCTCATTTAAAGGCACCAGCCGCCGTTACCGGGGGATGGGGGAGTCCGAGACAGAATGACTTCTTTATCCTGCTGACTCTGGAAAGCCCGGCGCCTTGTGATCCATTGCAAACCGAGAGTCACCTCGTGTTTAGAACACGGATCCACTCCCAAGTTCAGTGGGGGGATGTGAGGGGTGTGGCAGGTAGGACGAAGGACTCTCTTCCTTCTGATTCGGTCTGCACAGTGGGGCCTAGGGCTGGAGCTCTCTCCGTGCGGACCGCTGACTCCCTCTACCTTGGGTTCCCTCGGCCCCACCCTGGAACGCCGGGCCTTGGCAGATTCTGGCCCTTCCTGGCCCTTCAGTCGCTGTCAGAAACCCCATCTCATGCTCGGATGCCCCGAGTGACTGTGGCTCGCACCTCTCCGGAAACATTGGAAATCTCTCCTCTACGCGCGGCCACCTGAAACCACAGGAGCTCGGGACACACGTGCTTTCGGGAGAGAATGCTGAGAGTCTCTTGCCGACTCTCTCTTGACTTGAGTTCTTCGTGGGTGCGTGGTTAAGACGTAGTGAGACCAGATGTATTAACTCAGGCCGGGTGCTGGTGGCTCACGCCTGTAACCCCAACACTTTGGGAGGCCGAGGCCGTAGGATCCCTCGAGGAATCACCTAACCCTGGGGAGGTTGAGGTTGCAGTGAGTGAGCCATAGTTGTGTCACTGTGCTCCAGTCTGGGCGAAAGACAGAATGAGGCCCTGCCACAGGCAGGCAGGCAGGCAGGCAGGCAGAAAGACAACAGCTGTATTATGTTCTTCTCAGGGTAGGAAGCAAAAATAACAGAATACAGCACTTAATTAATTTTTTTTTTTCCCTTCGGACGGAGTTTCACTCTTGGTGCCCACGCTGGAGTGCAGTGGCACCATCTCGGCTCACCGCAACCTCCACCTCCCGCGTTCAAGCGATTCTCCTGCCTCAGCCTCCTGAGTAGCTGGGATTACAGGGAGGAGCCACCACACCCAGCTGATTTTGTATTGTTAGTAGAGACGGCATTTCTCCATGTGGGTCAGGCTGGTCTCGAACTGGCGACCCCAGTGGATCTGCCCGCCCCGGCCTCCCAAAGTGCTGGGGTGACAGGCGTGAGCCATCGTGACTGGCCGGCTACGTTTATTTATTTATTTTTTTAATTATTTTACTTTTTTTTAGTTTTCCATTTTAATCTATTTATTTATTTACATTTATTTATTTATTTATTTATTTACTTATTTATTTATTTTCGAGACAGACTCTCGCTCTGCTGCCCAGGCTGGAGTGCAGCGGCGTGATCTCGGCTCACTGCAAGCTCCGCCTCCCGGGTTCACGCCATTCTCCTGCCTCAGCCTCCCAAGTAGCTGGGACTACAGGCGCCCGCCACCGTGCCCGGCTAACTTTTTGTATTTTGAGTAGAGATGGGGTTTCACTGTGGTAGCCAGGATGGTCTCGATCTCCTGACCCCGTGATCCGTCCACCTCGGCCTCCCAAAGTGCTGGGATGACAGGCGTGAGCCACCGCCCCCGGCCTATTTATCTATTTATTAACTTTGAGTCCAGGTTATGAAACCAGTTAGTTTTTGTAATTTTTTTTTTTTTTTTTTTTTTTTTTTTTTGAGACGAGGTTTCACCGTGTTGCCAAGGCTTGGACCGAGGGATCCACCGGCCCTCGGCCTCCCAAAAGTGCGGGGATGACAGGCGCGAGCCTACCGCGCCCGGACCCCCCCTTTCCCCTTCCCCCGCTTGTCTTCCCGACAGACAGTTTCACGGCAGAGCGTTTGGCTGGCGTGCTTAAACTCATTCTAAATAGAAATTTGGGACGTCAGCTTCTGGCCTCACGGACTCTGAGCCGAGGAGTCCCCTGGTCTGTCTATCACAGGACCGTACACGTAAGGAGGAGAAAAATCGTAACGTTCAAAGTCAGTCATTTTGTGATACAGAAATACACGGATTCACCCAAAACACAGAAACCAGTCTTTTAGAAATGGCCTTAGCCCTGGTGTCCGTGCCAGTGATTCTTTTCGGTTTGGACCTTGACTGAGAGGATTCCCAGTCGGTCTCTCGTCTCTGGACGGAAGTTCCAGATGATCCGATGGGTGGGGGACTTAGGCTGCGTCCCCCCAGGAGCCCTGGTCGATTAGTTGTGGGGATCGCCTTGGAGGGCGCGGTGACCCACTGTGCTGTGGGAGCCTCCATCCTTCCCCCCACCCCCTCCCCAGGGGATCCCAATTCATTCCGGGCTGACACGCTCACTGGCAGGCGTCGGGCATCACCTAGCGGTCACTGTTACTCTGAAAACGGAGGCCTCACAGAGGAAGGGAGCACCAGGCCGCCTGCGCACAGCCTGGGGCAACTGTGTCTTCTCCACCGCCCCCGCCCCCACCTCCAAGTTCCTCCCTCCCTTGTTGCCTAGGAAATCGCCACTTTGACGACTGGGTCTGATTGACCTTTGATCAGGCAAAAACGAACAAACAGATAAATAAATAAAATAACACAAAAGTAACTAACTAAATAAAATAAGTCAATACAACCCATTACAATACAATAAGATACGATACGATAGGATGCGATAGGATACGATAGGATACAATACGATACGATACGATACAATACAATACAATACAATACAATACAATACAATACAATACAATACAATACAATACAATAGGCCGGGCGCGGTGGCTCATGCCTGTCATCCCGTCACTTTGGGATGCCGAGGTGGACGCATCACCTGAAGTCGGGAGTTGGAGACAAGCCCGACCAACATGGAGAAATCCCGTCTCAATTGAAAATACAAAACTAGCCGGGCGCGGTGGCACAGGCCTATAATCCCAGCTGCTAGGAAGGCTGAGGCAGGAGAATCGCTTGAACCTGGGAAGCGGAGGTTGCAGTGAGCCGAGATTGCGCCATCGCACTCCAGTCTGAGCAACAAGAGCGAAACTCCGTCTCAAAAATAAATACATAAATAAATACATACATACATACATACATACATAAATTAAAATAAATAAATAAAATAAAATAAATAAATGGGCCCTGCGCGGTGGCTCAAGCCTGTCATCCCCTCACTTTGGGAGGCCAAGGCCGGTGGATCAAGAGGCGGTCAGACCAACAGGGCCAGTATGGTGAAACCCCGTCTCTACTCACAATACACAACATTAGCCGGGCGCTGTGCTGTGCTGTACTGTCTGTAATCCCAGCTACTCGGGAGGCCGAGCTGAGGCAGGAGAATCGCTTGAACCTGGGAGGCGGAGGTTGCAGTGAGCCGAGATCGCGCCACTGCAACCCAGCCTGGGCGACAGAGCGAGACTCCGTCTCCAAAAAATGAAAATGAAAATGAAACGCAACAAAATAATTAAAAAGTGAGTTTCTGGGGAAAAAGAAGAAAAGAAAAAAGAAAAAAACAACAAAACAGAACAACCCCACCGTGACATACACGTACGCCTCTCGCCTTTCGAGGCCTCAAACACGTTAGGAATTATGCGTGATTTCTTTTTTTAACTTCATTTTATGTTATTATCATGATTGATGTTTCGAGACGGAGTCTCGGAGGCCCGCCCTCCCTGGTTGCCCAGACAACCCCGGGAGACAGACCCTGGCTGGGCCCGATTGTTCTTCTCCTTGGTCAGGGGTTTCCTTGTCTTTCTTCGTGTCTTTAACCCGCGTGGACTCTTCCGCTCGGGTTTGACAGATGGCAGCTCCACTTTAGGCCTTGTTGTTGTTGGGGACTTTCCTGATTCTCCCCAGATGTAGTGAAAGCAGGTAGATTTGCCTTGCCTGGACTTGCCTGGCCTTGCCTTTTCTTTCTTTCTTTCTTTATTACTTTCTCTTTTTCTTCTTCTTCTTCTTCTTCTTCTTCTTCTTCTTCTTCTTCTTCTTCTTCTTCTTTTTTTTTTGAGACAGAGTTTCACTCTTGTTGCCCAGGCTAGAGGGCAATGGCGCGATCTCGGCTCACCGCACCCTCCGCCTCCCAGGTTCAAGCGATTCTCCTGCCTCAGCCTCCTGATTAGCTGGGATTACAGGCATGGGCCACCGTGCCTGGCTGATGTTTGTACTTTTAGTAGAGACGGTGTTTTTCCATGTTGGTCAGGCTGGTCTCCCACTCCCAACCTCAGGTGGTCCGCCTGCCTTAGCCTCCCAAAGTGCTGGGATGACAGGCGTGAGCCACCGCGCCCAGCCTCTCTCTCTCTCTCTCTCTCTCTCTCTCTCTCTCTCTCTCTCGCTCGCTTGCTTGCTTGCTTTCGTGCTTTCTTGCTTTCCCGTTTTCTTGCTTTCTTTCTTTCTTTCGTTTCTTTCATGCTTGCTTTCTTGCTTGCTTGCTTGCTTTCGTGCTTTCTTGCTTTCCTGTTTTCTTTTTCTTTCTTTCTTTCTTTCTTTCTATTGTTTCTTTCTTGCTTGCTTTCTTGCTTGCTTGCTTGCTTTCGTGCTTTCTTGCTTTCCTGTTTTCTTTCTTTCTTTCTTTCTTTTGTTTCTTTCTTGCTTGCTTTCTTGCTTGCTTGCTTTCGTGCTTTCTTGTTTTCTCGCTTTCTTTCTTTCTTTTGTTTCTTTCCTGCTTGCTTTCTTGCTTGATTGCTTTCGTGCTTTCTTGCTTTCTTGTTTTCTTTCTTTCTTTTGTTTCTTTCTTTCTTGCTTCCTTGTTTTCTTGCTTTCTTGCTTGCTTGCTTTCGTGCTTTCTTGCTTTCTTGCTTTCTTTCTTTTGTTTCTTTCTTGCTTGCTTTCTTGCTTCCTTGTTTTCTTGCTTTCTTGCTTGCTTGCTTTCGTGCTTTCTTGCTTTCTTTTCTTTCTTTCTTTTCTTTTTCTTTCTTTCTTTCTTTCTTGCTTTCTTTTCTTTCATTCATTCCTTCTTTCTTTTCTTTCTTTCTTCCTTCCTTCCTTCCTTCCTTCCTTCCTTTCTTTCTTTCTTTCTGTTTCGTCCTTTTGAGACAGAGTTTCACTCTTGTTTCCACGGCTAGAGTGCAATGGCGCGATCTTGGCTCACCGCACCTTCCGCCTCCCGGGTTCGAGCGCTTCTCCTGCCTCAGCCTCCCGATTAGCGGGGATGACAGGGAGGCACCCCCACGCCTGGCTTGGCTGATGTTTGTGTTTTTAGTAGGCACGCCGTGTCTCTCCATGTTGCTCAGGCTGGTCTCCAACTCCCGACCTCCTGTGATGCGCCCACCTCGGCCTCTCGAAGTGCTGGGATGACGGGCGTGAGCCACCGTGCCCGGCCTGTTGACTCATTTCGCTTTTTTATTTCTTTCGTTTCCACGCGTTTACTTATATGTAGTAATGTAAACGTTTCTGTACGCTTATATGCAAACAACGACAACGTGTATCTCTGCATTGAATACTCTTGCGTATGGTAAATACGTATCGGTTGTATGGAAATAGACTTCTGTATGATAGATGTAGGTGTTTGTGTTATACAAATAAATACACATCGCTCTATAAAGAAGGGATCGTCGATAAAGACGTTTATTTTACGTATGAAAAGCGTCGTATTTATGTGTGTAAATGAACGAGCGTACGTAGTTATCTCTGTTTCCTTTCTTCCTCTCCTTCGTGTTTTTCTTCCTTCCTTTCTTCCTTTCTCTCCTTCTTTAGGTTTTTCTTCCTCTCTTCCTTTCCTTCTTTCTCTCTTTCTGTCCTTTTTTCCTTCGTGCTTTATTTCTCTTTCGTTCCCTGTCTTTCCTTCTTTTTTCTTTCCTCTCTGTTTCTTTTTCCCTTCTTTCCTTCGTTTCTTTCCTCATTCTTTCTCTCTTTTTCGTGTTTCTTTCCTTTCCGCCTGTCTTTTAAAAAATGGAGTGTTTCAGAAGTTTACTTTGTGTATCTACGTTTTCTAAATTGTCTCTCTTTTCTCCATTTTCTTCCTCCCTCCCTCCCTCCCTCCCTCCCTGCTCCCTTCCCTCCCTCCTTCCCTTTCGCCATCTGTCTCTTTTCCCCACTCCCCTCCCCCCGTCTGTCTCTGCGTGGATTCCGGAAGAGCCTACGCATTCTGCCTCTCCGTGTGTCTGCAGCGACCCGCGACCGAGTCCTTGTGTGTTCTTTCTCCCTCCCTCCCTCCCTCCCTCCCTCCCTCCCTCCCTCCCTCCCTGCTTCCGAGAGGCATCTCCAAACACCCACGCGCCGTGGGTTGTCTTCTGACTCTGTCGCGGTCGAGGCAGAGACGCGTTTTGGGCACCGTTTGTGTGGGGTTGGGGCAGAGGGGCTGCGTTTTCGGCCTCGGGAAGAGCTTCTCGACTCACGGTTTCGCTTTCGCGGTCCACGGGCCGCCCTGCCAGCCGGATCTGTCTCGCTGACGTCCGCGGCGGTTGTCGGGCTCCATCTGGCGGCCGCTTTGAGATCGTGCTCTCGGCTTCCGGAGCTGCGGTGGCAGCTGCCGAGGGAGGGGACCGTCCCCGCTGTGAGCTAGGCAGAGCTCCGGAAAGCCCGCGGTCGTCAGCCCGGCTGGCCCGGTGGCGCCAGAGCTGTGGCGCGTCGCTTGTGAGTCACAGCTCTGGCGTGCAGGTTTATGTGGGGGAGAGGCTGTCGCTGCGCTTCTGGGCCCGAGGCGGGCGTGGGGCTGCCCGGGCCGGTCGACCAGCGCGCCGTAGCTCCCGAGGCCCGAGCCGCGACCCGCGGGGACCCGCCGCGCGTGGCGCGGGAGGCTGGGGACGCCCTTCCCGGCCCGGTCGCGGGTCCGCGCTCATCCTGGCCGTCTGAGGCGGCGGCCGAATTCGTTTCCGAGTCCCCGTGGGGAGCCGGGGACCGTCCCGCCCCCGTCCCCCGGGTGCCGGGGAGCGGTCCCCGGGCCGGGCCGCGGTCCCTCTGCCGCGATCCTTTCTGGCGAGTCCCCGTGCGGAGTCGGAGAGCGCTCCCTGAGCGCGCGTGCGGCCCGAGAGGTCGCGCCTGGCCGGCCTTCGGTCCCTCGTGTGTCCCGGTCGTAGGAGGGGCCGGCCGAAAATGCTTCCGGCTCCCGCTCTGGAGACACGGGCCGGCCCCCTGCGTGTGGCACGGGCGGCCGGGAGGGCGTCCCCGGCCCGGCGCTGCTCCCGCGTGTGTCCTGGGGTTGACCAGAGGGCCCCGGGCGCTCCGTGTGTGGCTGCGATGGTGGCGTTTTTGGGGACAGGTGTCCGTGTCGCGCGTCGCCTGGGCCGGCGGCGTGGTCGGTGACGCGACCTCCCGGCCCCGGGGGAGGTATATCTTTCGCTCCGAGTCGGCATTTTGGGCCGCCGGGTTATTGCTGACACGCTGTCCTCTGGCGACCTGTCGCTGGAGAGGTTGGGCCTCCGGATGCGCGCGGGGCTCTGGCCTACCGGTGACCCGGCTAGCCGGCCGCGCTCCTGCTTGAGCCGCCTGCCGGGGCCCGCGGGCCTGCTGTTCTCTCGCGCGTCCGAGCGTCCCGACTCCCGGTGCCGGCCCGGGTCCGGGTCTCTGACCCACCCGGGGGGCGGCGGGGAAGGCGGCGAGGGCCACCGTGCCCCCGTGCGCTCTCCGCTGCGGGCGCCCGGGGCGGCCGCGACAACCCCACCCCGCTGGCTCCGTGCCGTGCGTGTCAGGCGTTCTCGTCTCCGCGGGGTTGTCCGCCGCCCCTTCCCCGGAGTGGGGGGTTGGCCGGAGCCGATCGGCTCGCTGGCCGGCCGGCCGGCCTCCGCTCCCGGGGGGCTCTTCGTGATCGATGTGGTGACGTCGTGCTCTCCCGGGCCGGGTCCGAGCCGCGACGGGCGAGGGGCGGACGTTCGTGGCGAACGGGACCGTCCTTCTCGCTCCGCCCCGCGGGGGTCCCCTCGTCTCTCCTCTCCCCGCCCGCCGGCGGTGCGTGTGGGAAGGCGTGGGGTGCGGACCCCGGCCCGACCTCGCCGTCCCGCCCGCCGCCTTCTGCGTCGCGGGGCGGGCCGGCGGGGTCCTCCGACGCGGCAGACAGCCCTCGCTGTCGCCTCCAGTGGTTGTCGACTTGCGGGCGGCCCCCCTCCGCGGCGGTGGGGGTGCCGTCCCGCCGGCCCGTCGTGCTGCCCTCTCGGGGGGGTTTGCGCGAGCGTCGGCTCCGCCTGGGCCCTTGCGGTGCTCCTGGAGCGCTCCGGGTTGTCCCTCAGGTGCCCGAGGCCGAACGGTGGTGTGTCGTTCCCGCCCCCGGCGCCCCCTCCTCCGGTCGCCGCCGCGGTGTCCGCGCGTGGGTCCTGAGGGAGCTCGTCGGTGTGGGGTTCGAGGCGGTTTGAGTGAGACGAGACGAGACGCGCCCCTCCCACGCGGGGAAGGGCGCCCGCCTGCTCTCGGTGAGCGCACGTCCCGTGCTCCCCTCTGGCGGGTGCGCGCGGGCCGTGTGAGCGATCGCGGTGGGTTCGGGCCGGTGTGACGCGTGCGCCGGCCGGCCGCCGAGGGGCTGCCGTTCTGCCTCCGACCGGTCGTGTGTGGGTTGACTTCGGAGGCGCTCTGCCTCGGAAGGAAGGAGGTGGGTGGACGGGGGGGCCTGGTGGGGTTGCGCGCACGCGCGCACCGGCCGGGCCCCCGCCCTGAACGCGAACGCTCGAGGTGGCCGCGCGCAGGTGTTTCCTCGTACCGCAGGGCCCCCTCCCTTCCCCAGGCGTCCCTCGGCGCCTCTGCGGGCCCGAGGAGGAGCGGCTGGCGGGTGGGGGGAGTGTGACCCACCCTCGGTGAGAAAAGCCTTCTCTAGCGATCTGAGAGGCGTGCCTTGGGGGTACCGGATCCCCCGGGCCGCCGCCTCTGTCTCTGCCTCCGTTATGGTAGCGCTGCCGTTAGCGACCCGCTCGCAGAGGACCCTCCTCCGCTTCCCCCTCGACGGGGTTGGGGGGGAGAAGCGAGGGTTCCGCCGGCCACCGCGGTGGTGGCCGAGTGCGGCTCGTCGCCTACTGTGGCCCGCGCCTCCCCCCTTCCGAGTCGGGGGAGGATCCCGCCGGGCCGGGCCCGGCGTTCCCAGCGGGTTGGGACGCGGCGGCCGGCGGGCGGTGGGTGTGCGCGCCCGGCGCTCTGTCCGGCGCGTGACCCCCTCCGCCGCGAGTCGGCTCTCCGCCCGCTCCCGTGCCGAGTCGTGACCGGTGCCGACGACCGCGTTTGCGTGGCACGGGGTCGGGCCCGCCTGGCCCTGGGAAAGCGTCCCACGGTGGGGGCGCGCCGGTCTCCCGGAGCGGGACCGGGTCGGAGGATGGACGAGAATCACGAGCGACGGTGGTGCGGGCGTGTCGGGTTCGTGGCTGCGGTCGCTCCGGGGCCCCCGGTGGCGGGGCCCCGGGGCTCGCGAGGCGGTTCTCGGTGGGGGCCGAGGGCCGTCCGGCGTCCCAGGCGGGGCGCCGCGGGACCGCCCTCGTGTCTGTGGCGGTGGGATCCCGCGGCCGTGTTTTCCTGGTGGCCCGGCCGTGCCTGAGGTTTCTCCCCGAGCCGCCGCCTCTGCGGGCTCCCGGGTGCCCTTGCCCTCGCGGTCCCCGGCCCTCGCCCGTCTGTGCCCTCTTCCCCGCCCGCCGCCCGCCGATCCTCTTCTTCCCCCCGAGCGGCTCACCGGCTTCACGTCCGTTGGTGGCCCCGCCTGGGACCGAACCCGGCACCGCCTCGTGGGGCGCCGCCGCCGGCCACTGATCGGCCCGGCGTCCGCGTCCCCCGGCGCGCGCCTTGGGGACCGGGTCGGTGGCGCCCCGCGTGGGGCCCGGTGGGCTTCCCGGAGGGTTCCGGGGGTCGGCCTGCGGCGCGTGCGGGGGAGGAGACGGTTCCGGGGGACCGGCCGCGACTGCGGCGGCGGTGGTGGGGGGAGCCGCGGGGATCGCCGAGGGCCGGTCGGCCGCCCCGGGTGCCGCGCGGTGCCGCCGGCGGCGGTGAGGCCCCGCGCGTGTGTCCCGGCTGCGGTCGGCCGCGCTCGCGGGGTCCCCGTGGCGTCCCCTTCCCCGCCGGCCGCCTTTCTCGCGCCTTCCCCGTCGCCCCGGCCTCGCCCGTGGTCTCTCGTCTTCTCCCGGCCCGCTCTTCCGAACCGGGTCGGCGCGTCCCCCGGGTGCGCCTCGCTTCCCGGGCCTGCCGCGGCCCTTCCCCGAGGCGTCCGTCCCGGGCGTCGGCGTCGGGGAGAGCCCGTCCTCCCCGCGTGGCGTCGCCCCGTTCGGCGCGCGCGTGCGCCCGAGCGCGGCCCGGTGGTCCCTCCCGGACAGGCGTTCGTGCGACGTGTGGCGTGGGTCGACCTCCGCCTTGCCGGTCGCTCGCCCTTTCCCCGGGTCGGGGGGTGGGGCCCGGGCCGGGGCCTCGGCCCCGGTCGCGGTCCCCCGTCCCGGGCGGGGGCGGGCGCGCCGGCCGGCCTCGGTCGGCCCTCCCTTGGCCGTCGTGTGGCGTGTGCCACCCCTGCGCCCGCGCCCGCCGGCGGGGCTCGGAGCCGGGCTTCGGCCGGGCCCCGGGCCCTCGACCGGACCGGTGCGCGGGCGCTGCGGCCGCACGGCGCGACTGTCCCCGGGCCGGGCACCGCGGTCCGCCTCTCGCTCGCCGCCCGGACGTCGGGGCCGCCCCGCGGGGCGGGCGGAGCGCCGTCCCCGCCTCGCCGCCGCCCGCGGGCGCCGGCCGCGCGCGCGCGCGCGTGGCCGCCGGTCCCTCCCGGCCGCCGGGCGCGGGTCGGGCCGTCCGCCTCCTCGCGGGCGGGCGCGACGAAGAAGCGTCGCGGGTCTGTGGCGCGGGGCCCCGGTGGTCGTGTCGCGTGGGGGGCGGGTGGTTGGGGCGTCCGGTTCGCCGCGCCCCGCCCCGGCCCCACCGGTCCCGGCCGCCGCCCCCGCGCCCGCTCGCTCCCTCCCGTCCGCCCGTCCGCGGCCCGTCCGTCCGTCCGTCGTCCTCCTCGCTTGCGGGGCGCCGGGCCCGTCCTCGCGAGGCCCCCCGGCCGGCCGTCCGGCCGCGTCGGGGCCTCGCCGCGCTCTACCTACCTACCTGGTTGATCCTGCCAGTAGCATATGCTTGTCTCAAAGATTAAGCCATGCATGTCTAAGTACGCACGGCCGGTACAGTGAAACTGCGAATGGCTCATTAAATCAGTTATGGTTCCTTTGGTCGCTCGCTCCTCTCCTACTTGGATAACTGTGGTAATTCTAGAGCTAATACATGCCGACGGGCGCTGACCCCCTTCGCGGGGGGGATGCGTGCATTTATCAGATCAAAACCAACCCGGTCAGCCCCTCTCCGGCCCCGGCCGGGGGGCGGGCGCCGGCGGCTTTGGTGACTCTAGATAACCTCGGGCCGATCGCACGCCCCCCGTGGCGGCGACGACCCATTCGAACGTCTGCCCTATCAACTTTCGATGGTAGTCGCCGTGCCTACCATGGTGACCACGGGTGACGGGGAATCAGGGTTCGATTCCGGAGAGGGAGCCTGAGAAACGGCTACCACATCCAAGGAAGGCAGCAGGCGCGCAAATTACCCACTCCCGACCCGGGGAGGTAGTGACGAAAAATAACAATACAGGACTCTTTCGAGGCCCTGTAATTGGAATGAGTCCACTTTAAATCCTTTAACGAGGATCCATTGGAGGGCAAGTCTGGTGCCAGCAGCCGCGGTAATTCCAGCTCCAATAGCGTATATTAAAGTTGCTGCAGTTAAAAAGCTCGTAGTTGGATCTTGGGAGCGGGCGGGCGGTCCGCCGCGAGGCGAGCCACCGCCCGTCCCCGCCCCTTGCCTCTCGGCGCCCCCTCGATGCTCTTAGCTGAGTGTCCCGCGGGGCCCGAAGCGTTTACTTTGAAAAAATTAGAGTGTTCAAAGCAGGCCCGAGCCGCCTGGATACCGCAGCTAGGAATAATGGAATAGGACCGCGGTTCTATTTTGTTGGTTTTCGGAACTGAGGCCATGATTAAGAGGGACGGCCGGGGGCATTCGTATTGCGCCGCTAGAGGTGAAATTCTTGGACCGGCGCAAGACGGACCAGAGCGAAAGCATTTGCCAAGAATGTTTTCATTAATCAAGAACGAAAGTCGGAGGTTCGAAGACGATCAGATACCGTCGTAGTTCCGACCATAAACGATGCCGACCGGCGATGCGGCGGCGTTATTCCCATGACCCGCCGGGCAGCTTCCGGGAAACCAAAGTCTTTGGGTTCCGGGGGGAGTATGGTTGCAAAGCTGAAACTTAAAGGAATTGACGGAAGGGCACCACCAGGAGTGGAGCCTGCGGCTTAATTTGACTCAACACGGGAAACCTCACCCGGCCCGGACACGGACAGGATTGACAGATTGATAGCTCTTTCTCGATTCCGTGGGTGGTGGTGCATGGCCGTTCTTAGTTGGTGGAGCGATTTGTCTGGTTAATTCCGATAACGAACGAGACTCTGGCATGCTAACTAGTTACGCGACCCCCGAGCGGTCGGCGTCCCCCAACTTCTTAGAGGGACAAGTGGCGTTCAGCCACCCGAGATTGAGCAATAACAGGTCTGTGATGCCCTTAGATGTCCGGGGCTGCACGCGCGCTACACTGACTGGCTCAGCGTGTGCCTACCCTACGCCGGCAGGCGCGGGTAACCCGTTGAACCCCATTCGTGATGGGGATCGGGGATTGCAATTATTCCCCATGAACGAGGAATTCCCAGTAAGTGCGGGTCATAAGCTTGCGTTGATTAAGTCCCTGCCCTTTGTACACACCGCCCGTCGCTACTACCGATTGGATGGTTTAGTGAGGCCCTCGGATCGGCCCCGCCGGGGTCGGCCCACGGCCCTGGCGGAGCGCTGAGAAGACGGTCGAACTTGACTATCTAGAGGAAGTAAAAGTCGTAACAAGGTTTCCGTAGGTGAACCTGCGGAAGGATCATTAACGGAGCCCGGAGGGCGAGGCCCGCGGCGGCGCCGCCGCCGCCGCGCGCTTCCCTCCGCACACCCGCCCCCCCACCGCGACGCGGCGCGTGCGCGGGCGGGGCCCGCGTGCCCGTTCGTTCGCTCGCTCGTTCGTTCGCCGCCCGGCCCCGCCGGCCGCGAGAGCCGGAGAACTCGGGAGGGAGACGGGGGGGAGAGAGAGAGAGAGAGAGAGAAAGAAGGGCGTGTCGTTGGTGTGCGCGTGTCGTGGGGCCGGCGGGCGGCGGGGAGCGGTCCCCGGCCGCGGCCCCGACGACGTGGGTGTCGGCGGGCGCGGGGGCGGTTCTCGGCGGCGTCGCGGCGGGTCTGGGGGGTCTCGGTGCCCTCCTCCCCGCCGGGGCCCGTCGTCCGGCCCCGCCGCGCCGGCTCCCCGTCTTCGGGGCCGGCCGGATTCCCGTCGCCTCCGCCGCGCCGCTCCGCGCCGCCGGGCACGGCCCCGCTCGCTCTCCCCGGCCTTCCCGCTAGGGCGTCTCGAGGGTCGGGGGCCGGACGCCGGTCCCCTCCCCCGCCTCCTCGTCCGCCCCCCCGCCGTCCAGGTACCTAGCGCGTTCCGGCGCGGAGGTTTAAAGACCCCTTGGGGGGATCGCCCGTCCGCCCGTGGGTCGGGGGCGGTGGTGGGCCCGCGGGGGAGTCCCGTCGGGAGGGGCCCGGCCCCTCCCGCGCCTCCACCGCGGACTCCGCTCCCCGGCCGGGGCCGCGCCGCCGCCGCCGCCGCGGCGGCCGTCGGGTGGGGGCTTTACCCGGCGGCCGTCGCGCGCCTGCCGCGCGTGTGGCGTGCGCCCCGCGCCGTGGGGGCGGGAACCCCCGGGCGCCTGTGGGGTGGTGTCCGCGCTCGCCCCCGCGTGGGCGGCGCGCGCCTCCCCGTGGTGTGAAACCTTCCGACCCCTCTCCGGAGTCCGGTCCCGTTTGCTGTCTCGTCTGGCCGGCCTGAGGCAACCCCCTCTCCTCTTGGGCGGGGGGGGGGGGGACGTGCCGCGCCAGGAAGGGCCTCCTCCCGGTGCGTCGTCGGGAGCGCCCTCGCCAAATCGACCTCGTACGACTCTTAGCGGTGGATCACTCGGCTCGTGCGTCGATGAAGAACGCAGCTAGCTGCGAGAATTAATGTGAATTGCAGGACACATTGATCATCGACACTTCGAACGCACTTGCGGCCCCGGGTTCCTCCCGGGGCTACGCCTGTCTGAGCGTCGCTTGCCGATCAATCGCCCCCGGGGGTGCCTCCGGGCTCCTCGGGGTGCGCGGCTGGGGGTTCCCTCGCAGGGCCCGCCGGGGGCCCTCCGTCCCCCTAAGCGCAGACCCGGCGGCGTCCGCCCTCCCCTTGCCGCCGCGCCCGCCCCTTCCCCCTCCCCCCGCGGGCCCTGCGTGGTCACGCGTCGGGTGGCGGGGGGGAGAGGGGGGCGCGCCCGGCTGAGAGAGACGGGGAGGGCGGCGCCGCCGCCGCCCGCGAAGACGGAGAGGGAAAGAGAGAGCCGGCTCGGGCCGAGTTCCCGTGGCCGCCGCCTGCGGTCCGGGTTCCTCCCTCGGGGGGCTCCCTCGCGCCGCGCGCGGCTCGGGGTTCGGGGTTCGTCGGCCCCGGCCGGGTGGAAGGTCCCGTGCCCGTCGTCGTCGTCGTCGTCGCGCGTCGTCGGCGGTGGGGGCGTGTTGCGTGCGGTGTGGTGGTGGGGGAGGAGGAAGGCGGGTCCGGAAGGGGAAGGGTGCCGGCGGGGAGAGAGGGTCGGGGGAGCGCGTCCCGGTCGCCGCGGTTCGCCGCCCGCCCCCGGTGGCGGCCCGGCGTCCGGCCGACCGCCGCTCCCGCGCCCCTCCTCCTCCCCGCCGCCCCTCCTCCGAGGCCCCGCCCGTCCTCCTCGCCCTCCCCGCGCGTACGCGCGCGCGCCCGCCCGCCCGGCTCGCCTCGCGGCGCGTCGGCCGGGGCCGGGAGCCCGCCCCGCGGCCCGCCCGGCCGCGCCCGTGGCCGCGGCGCCGGGGTTCGCGTGTCCCCGGCGGCGACCCGCGGGACGCCGCGGTGTCGTCCGCCGTCGCGCGCCCGCCTCCGGCTCGCGGCCGCGCCGCGCCGCGCCGGGGCCCCGTCCCGAGCTTCCGCGTCGGGGCGGGGCGGCTCCGCCGCCGCGTCCTCGGACCCGTCCCCCCGACCTCCGCGGGGGAGACGGGTCGGGGCGTGCGGCGCCCGTCCCGCCCCCGGCCCGTGCCCCTCCCTCCGGTCGTCCCGCTCCGGCGGGGCGGCGCGGGGGCGCCGTCGGCCGCGCGCTCTCTCTCCCGTCGCCTCTCCCCCTCGCCGGGCCCGTCTCCCGACGGAGCGTCGGGCGGGCGGTCGGGCCGGCGCGATTCCGTCCGTCCGTCCGCCGAGCGGCCCGTCCCCCTCCGAGACGCGACCTCAGATCAGACGTGGCGACCCGCTGAATTTAAGCATATTAGTCAGCGGAGGAGAAGAAACTAACCAGGATTCCCTCAGTAACGGCGAGTGAACAGGGAAGAGCCCAGCGCCGAATCCCCGCCCCGCGGCGGGGCGCGGGACATGTGGCGTACGGAAGACCCGCTCCCCGGCGCCGCTCGTGGGGGGCCCAAGTCCTTCTGATCGAGGCCCAGCCCGTGGACGGTGTGAGGCCGGTAGCGGCCCCCGGCGCGCCGGGCCCGGGTCTTCCCGGAGTCGGGTTGCTTGGGAATGCAGCCCAAAGCGGGTGGTAAACTCCATCTAAGGCTAAATACCGGCACGAGACCGATAGTCAACAAGTACCGTAAGGGAAAGTTGAAAAGAACTTTGAAGAGAGAGTTCAAGAGGGCGTGAAACCGTTAAGAGGTAAACGGGTGGGGTCCGCGCAGTCCGCCCGGAGGATTCAACCCGGCGGCGGGTCCGGCCGTGTCGGCGGCCCGGCGGATCTTTCCCGCCCCCCGTTCCTCCCGACCCCTCCACCCGCCCTCCCTTCCCCCGCCGCCCCTCCTCCTCCTCCCCGGAGGGGGCGGGCTCCGGCGGGTGCGGGGGTGGGCGGGCGGGGCCGGGGGTGGGGTCGGCGGGGGACCGTCCCCCGACCGGCGACCGGCCGCCGCCGGGCGCATTTCCACCGCGGCGGTGCGCCGCGACCGGCTCCGGGACGGCTGGGAAGGCCCGGCGGGGAAGGTGGCTCGGGGGGCCCCGTCCGTCCGTCCGTCCGTCCTCCTCCTCCCCCGTCTCCGCCCCCCGGCCCCGCGTCCTCCCTCGGGAGGGCGCGCGGGTCGGGGCGGCGGCGGCGGCGGCGGTGGCGGCGGCGGCGGCGGCGGCGGGACCGAAACCCCCCCCGAGTGTTACAGCCCCCCCGGCAGCAGCACTCGCCGAATCCCGGGGCCGAGGGAGCGAGACCCGTCGCCGCGCTCTCCCCCCTCCCGGCGCCCACCCCCGCGGGGAATCCCCCGCGAGGGGGGTCTCCCCCGCGGGGGCGCGCCGGCGTCTCCTCGTGGGGGGGCCGGGCCACCCCTCCCACGGCGCGACCGCTCTCCCACCCCTCCTCCCCGCGCCCCCGCCCCGGCGACGGGGGGGGTGCCGCGCGCGGGTCGGGGGGCGGGGCGGACTGTCCCCAGTGCGCCCCGGGCGGGTCGCGCCGTCGGGCCCGGGGGAGGTTCTCTCGGGGCCACGCGCGCGTCCCCCGAAGAGGGGGACGGCGGAGCGAGCGCACGGGGTCGGCGGCGACGTCGGCTACCCACCCGACCCGTCTTGAAACACGGACCAAGGAGTCTAACACGTGCGCGAGTCGGGGGCTCGCACGAAAGCCGCCGTGGCGCAATGAAGGTGAAGGCCGGCGCGCTCGCCGGCCGAGGTGGGATCCCGAGGCCTCTCCAGTCCGCCGAGGGCGCACCACCGGCCCGTCTCGCCCGCCGCGCCGGGGAGGTGGAGCACGAGCGCACGTGTTAGGACCCGAAAGATGGTGAACTATGCCTGGGCAGGGCGAAGCCAGAGGAAACTCTGGTGGAGGTCCGTAGCGGTCCTGACGTGCAAATCGGTCGTCCGACCTGGGTATAGGGGCGAAAGACTAATCGAACCATCTAGTAGCTGGTTCCCTCCGAAGTTTCCCTCAGGATAGCTGGCGCTCTCGCAGACCCGACGCACCCCCGCCACGCAGTTTTATCCGGTAAAGCGAATGATTAGAGGTCTTGGGGCCGAAACGATCTCAACCTATTCTCAAACTTTAAATGGGTAAGAAGCCCGGCTCGCTGGCGTGGAGCCGGGCGTGGAATGCGAGTGCCTAGTGGGCCACTTTTGGTAAGCAGAACTGGCGCTGCGGGATGAACCGAACGCCGGGTTAAGGCGCCCGATGCCGACGCTCATCAGACCCCAGAAAAGGTGTTGGTTGATATAGACAGCAGGACGGTGGCCATGGAAGTCGGAATCCGCTAAGGAGTGTGTAACAACTCACCTGCCGAATCAACTAGCCCTGAAAATGGATGGCGCTGGAGCGTCGGGCCCATACCCGGCCGTCGCCGGCAGTCGAGAGTGGACGGGAGCGGCGGGGGCGGCGCGCGCGCGCGCGCGTGTGGTGTGCGTCGGAGGGCGGCGGCGGCGGCGGCGGCGGGGGTGTGGGGTCCTCCCCCGCCCCCCCCCCCACGCCTCCTCCCCTCCTCCCGCCCACGCCCCGCTCCCCGCCCCCGGAGCCCCGCGGACGCTACGCCGCGACGAGTAGGAGGGCCGCTGCGGTGAGCCTTGAAGCCTAGGGCGCGGGCCCGGGTGGAGCCGCCGCAGGTGCAGATCTTGGTGGTAGTAGCAAATATTCAAACGAGAACTTTGAAGGCCGAAGTGGAGAAGGGTTCCATGTGAACAGCAGTTGAACATGGGTCAGTCGGTCCTGAGAGATGGGCGAGCGCCGTTCCGAAGGGACGGGCGATGGCCTCCGTTGCCCTCGGCCGATCGAAAGGGAGTCGGGTTCAGATCCCCGAATCCGGAGTGGCGGAGATGGGCGCCGCGAGGCGTCCAGTGCGGTAACGCGACCGATCCCGGAGAAGCCGGCGGGAGCCCCGGGGAGAGTTCTCTTTTCTTTGTGAAGGGCAGGGCGCCCTGGAATGGGTTCGCCCCGAGAGAGGGGCCCGTGCCTTGGAAAGCGTCGCGGTTCCGGCGGCGTCCGGTGAGCTCTCGCTGGCCCTTGAAAATCCGGGGGAGAGGGTGTAAATCTCGCGCCGGGCCGTACCCATATCCGCAGCAGGTCTCCAAGGTGAACAGCCTCTGGCATGTTGGAACAATGTAGGTAAGGGAAGTCGGCAAGCCGGATCCGTAACTTCGGGATAAGGATTGGCTCTAAGGGCTGGGTCGGTCGGGCTGGGGCGCGAAGCGGGGCTGGGCGCGCGCCGCGGCTGGACGAGGCGCCGCCGCCCCCCCCACGCCCGGGGCACCCCCCTCGCGGCCCTCCCCCGCCCCACCCCGCGCGCGCCGCTCGCTCCCTCCCCACCCCGCGCCCTCTCTCTCTCTCTCTCCCCCGCTCCCCGTCCTCCCCCCTCCCCGGGGGAGCGCCGCGTGGGGGCGGCGGCGGGGGGAGAAGGGTCGGGGCGGCAGGGGCCGGCGGCGGCCGCCGCGGGGCCCCGGCGGCGGGGGCACGGTCCCCCGCGAGGGGGGCCCGGGCACCCGGGGGGCCGGCGGCGGCGGCGACTCTGGACGCGAGCCGGGCCCTTCCCGTGGATCGCCCCAGCTGCGGCGGGCGTCGCGGCCGCCCCCGGGGAGCCCGGCGGGCGCCGGCGCGCCCCCCCCACCCCCACCCCACGTCTCGTCGCGCGCGCGTCCGCTGGGGGCGGGGAGCGGTCGGGCGGCGGCGGCGGTCGGCGGGCGGCGGGGCGGGGCGGTTCGTCCCCCCGCCCTACCCCCCCGGCCCCGTCCGCCCCCCGTTCCCCCCTCCTCCTCGGCGCGCGGCGGCGGCGGCGGCGGCGGGCGGCGGAGGGGCCGCGGGCCGGTCCCCCCCGCCGGGTCCGCCCCCGGGGCCGCGGTTCCGCGCGGCGCCTCGCCTCGGCCGGCGCCTAGCAGCCGACTTAGAACTGGTGCGGACCAGGGGAATCCGACTGTTTAATTAAAACAAAGCATCGCGAAGGCCCGCGGCGGGTGTTGACGCGATGTGATTTCTGCCCAGTGCTCTGAATGTCAAAGTGAAGAAATTCAATGAAGCGCGGGTAAACGGCGGGAGTAACTATGACTCTCTTAAGGTAGCCAAATGCCTCGTCATCTAATTAGTGACGCGCATGAATGGATGAACGAGATTCCCACTGTCCCTACCTACTATCCAGCGAAACCACAGCCAAGGGAACGGGCTTGGCGGAATCAGCGGGGAAAGAAGACCCTGTTGAGCTTGACTCTAGTCTGGCACGGTGAAGAGACATGAGAGGTGTAGAATAAGTGGGAGGCCCCCGGCGCCCCCCCGGTGTCCCCGCGAGGGGCCCGGGGCGGGGTCCGCCGGCCCTGCGGGCCGCCGGTGAAATACCACTACTCTGATCGTTTTTTCACTGACCCGGTGAGGCGGGGGGGCGAGCCCCGAGGGGCTCTCGCTTCTGGCGCCAAGCGCCCGGCCGCGCGCCGGCCGGGCGCGACCCGCTCCGGGGACAGTGCCAGGTGGGGAGTTTGACTGGGGCGGTACACCTGTCAAACGGTAACGCAGGTGTCCTAAGGCGAGCTCAGGGAGGACAGAAACCTCCCGTGGAGCAGAAGGGCAAAAGCTCGCTTGATCTTGATTTTCAGTACGAATACAGACCGTGAAAGCGGGGCCTCACGATCCTTCTGACCTTTTGGGTTTTAAGCAGGAGGTGTCAGAAAAGTTACCACAGGGATAACTGGCTTGTGGCGGCCAAGCGTTCATAGCGACGTCGCTTTTTGATCCTTCGATGTCGGCTCTTCCTATCATTGTGAAGCAGAATTC